>NT_167247.2:3924264-4143994 GCF_000001405.40 Homo sapiens | reverse complement strand
GGCCAGAGCAAGTGCCAGGCGGGAACAGAGGGACTGGGCGCGCCTCACAACTCACCACCTCGCCCGCTGGTCCTTCCTGGCTCGCCTGGCTCTGAAGCTGCACCTGGAGGGGAAACCTCAGAACAGTAGGCGGGATTGCCTAGTAAATATCTCCCATTCAGGGAGGCCCAGGTCGTGTGACGTCGACAGTTGCTGGGTAGATGAGGCCAACACAGGTTGCAAGAAGAGGCGGGGTTTAGAGGCGTGAAACTCCGCAGTGCTCAGCCAAGCAGGGAGCAACGCTAGGAAGGGCGGGCAGAAAGGGCACGCTCTTGTGGGTGACTACAGGTTAGGAGACCGTTGAACCTGGAGGGGCCCTAGGATGGACCCCGTGGAAAGATTCAGAGACTGCGCCCTCTCCCTGGCGCCGCCTTCCCCTACACGCGGCGGGTATATTCTGTTGCAGTTGGCCCAGGACCTGTTTCCAAGACTCTGCCCCCTCGCACTTCCGTCCCTCCTGGTTTTGTAAAGTGATGCTCATAGGAACCCCCACCCCGCGTGACACTACTCCCAGCTCCTGGCTGACTTCTAGTCTTCTGGTTGAAGCTGCGCCTTTAGATGACACGACCCTACCCACCCCTGTTTCCAGCGGATGCCCGGGCCTGGAGGTACCTCTTACTGTAACCCATCGCCAAGTGGGCTTTTGAAGGCGCCTGTTCCTTTCTCGCTTTCTTCGGAAGACCCTTGACCCATCATTCCCCCGACCCCCATAACGGGAGAGCAGAGAAGCCGGTCCCCAGTGTGATGGTCCTGGTCCAGGCACTAACTGTCCTTTTCTCGGAAAAGGCAGGGGGATGTGGAAAAGAGTCTTGTTCCCTCCCCTTCGATCTGTGGCTTTCGCTTTCACTTCCTCCTCCGAGAGCGGACAGATCTCTGGGTGCTGGGCGGTCATGGCGCTACTAGATGTATGCGGAGCCCCCCGAGGGCAGCGGCCGGAATCGGCTCTCCCGGTTGCGGGAAGCGGGCGTCGCTCGGACCCAGGACACTACAGTTTCTCTATGCGATCTCCAGAGCTCGCTTTACCCCGGGGAATGCAGGTCGGGGCAGTAGGGAAGCCCCTAGGGATGCAGGGAGGCGGGCGCTGAGGAGTGGAGGGTCGCCTGAGAGGAGGAGGCGAGAGCGGGAGCGCGGGGTACAGGGTCGGGGGTAGCCTTCAGTCCCGGAGAGCGCCAGACCCAAAGAAGAGGCCACATGGGGATGGGGCCTGAGAGGAGGAAGTGCAAGTTAGGACAAAGAGTTACAGGTGAGGTGGGGGCTCCCAAAGGAAGACAAGAGAACTTCCCTGCCCTTGTCCACACACAAATGGTGGAGCCTTTTTCATGGGGTTATCACATGATATAGGAGGTGTGTGGTGTCTTGGGAAACCTATGAAATTTGCCTGCTGGCCTCCTCTCAGCAACTCACTGTTGCGCGACTTAGAACAAGTCACTTAGTCTAGGTCCCAAGCCCCTCTTCTGTAAAGTGAGGATACTGTTACTAAACGTGTTTTGTGAGGGTTGAATGCTTTATGCATGGAAGAAACCCTTTAAGTCACTCTCAAAATTTTTTAGTAATGGTAACATGTGCTTGCTTTCATTTCTGTTGTGCTGGAAAATGGAAAAGGTTGATACTGGCATGCCTCTTCTTTTCCTTCTCCCAAGCCATTTCCTTCTAGAGATTGGTTATTAACTGTTTCATTTATTGATGGTTAGATCATTTCTGCATATCTCCTCACCCTCATACTCCCTAAAACCTTTTCCTGGAGCCTCTTACTACAGAATTTTTCATTGCCTTTCTCAACCTCTTTTCTCTTATCAGCCCACAGAATTCTTCCAGTCCCTGGGTGGGGACGGAGAAAGGAACGTTCAGATTGAGATGGCCCATGGCACCACCACGCTCGCCTTCAAGTTCCAGCATGGAGTGATTGCAGCAGTGGATTCTCGGGCCTCAGCTGGGTCCTACATTAGTGAGTGTATACGCTCCAGCAGGCAGAATCTGGGGAGCTGGGCTCTCCTTTCCACAGGAGGCCAACTCTGCAACAAAGTGGAAGTGGATATTGATTTAGGACACACTGGGGGATCTATGGGGTCATCCCTTCTCTCCCAAAGCTCCATCTTCTTCCAGGTGCCTTACGGGTGAACAAGGTGATTGAGATTAACCCTTACCTGCTTGGCACCATGTCTGGCTGTGCAGCAGACTGTCAGTACTGGGAGCGCCTGCTGGCCAAGGAATGCAGGTAAGTGAGGCCTCTCATCTTCCTTTCTTAGCCTAGTGGTTAATCCCTGGATCTCTCAGATCATTGCTCCTTACTCTTGTCCTATGTGGTCCATCTTAGTGCTAATAGTATATTTCACAAAACAGCTTTTTGGTGATAAGACCCTTCTCCCAAATCTCAGCCTGTGCTCCACTCATAAGCCAGATAGTACGTCAGGTATTTAGCACTGACACATCCACCCTGGCGGGACAGTATCATTTACTAGGCTGCCTTTGTATGTTTCAGATACTTTAAATTCCAAATCTTTCTCTGATCTTTAGATCCTACAAAATAATTCCTTTCCAATGCTTATCTCTTTAATCATTTCCTGCCCCATCAAGTTGGAAAGAGCTAACCTCTCTTTCCTCACTCCACCTTGTCCTCACCCAGGCTGTACTATCTGCGAAATGGAGAACGTATTTCAGTGTCGGCAGCCTCCAAGCTGCTGTCCAACATGATGTGCCAGTACCGGGGCATGGGCCTCTCTATGGGCAGTATGATCTGTGGCTGGGATAAGAAGGTGGGTGCTCTCCATTCTTCATGTTCCCCCACCATGTTCCCTATGGATGACAGATCTGTTTCCCATCATATACTCCTACTCCCTCCCTGACAAGATGCATGGCATATAGAGTGCTTGGTTATAGAACTGTTTCAGTATATCCATGGACTATTTATTGGCCCAGATATGAATCATTGCATGTGTTTTGTAAGCTTGTCCCTTTTGTTAAACAGTTGATTTCAAGTTTGTTTTTCCTTTTTCATTTCTAAAGTTCGATGACTTTACCAAAGTGGTTTCCTAATTCCAATGTTCTTGTGGTAATATTAATTCTTTTGTTCACTTTTTATGTCTCATATTTGAACCCCCATGTTACCAACATCTTCCTCTCCAATTTCAGCCTGAAATCTTTCATCTTATAGGGTCCTGGACTCTACTACGTGGATGAACATGGGACTCGGCTCTCAGGAAATATGTTCTCCACGGGTAGTGGGAACACTTATGCCTACGGGGTCATGGACAGTGGCTATCGGCCTAATCTTAGCCCTGAAGAGGCCTATGACCTTGGCCGCAGGGCTATTGCTTATGCCACTCACAGAGACAGCTATTCTGGAGGCGTTGTCAATAGTAAGAGACCAATGCTCCCACCACCATGCCTGGGAGGAGTCGGCGGGTGGTGGGGGGGGTGATTTAAGATTGAGAAACCAGCCTGGCCAACATGGCGAAACCCCGTCTCTACTAAAACTACAAAAATTAGCCGGACGTGGTGACGGGTGCCTGTAGTCCCAGCTACTTGGGAGGCTGAGGCAGGAGAATCACTTGAACCTGGGAGGTGGAGCTTGCAGTGAGCCAAGATGGTGCCACTGCATTCCAGTCTGGGCCACAGAGTGAGACTCCTTCTCAAAAGAAAAAAAAGAAAATGATTGAGAGACTCAAAGGAGGGAGAGTAGTAGGGAGGAAATTTTCAGAGTCAGAAGAAGGGCATTAAAGGCCCAGTCATATGGTTTTAAGCTTGCGCATGTGTCTTGTTGCTGCCTTCAACATAACATCAGTGACAGGAACTTGCTGAGGTGAAAGGTGACTCCATGTTCTTTTCTCATTTGTCCACAGTGTACCACATGAAGGAAGATGGTTGGGTGAAAGTAGAAAGTACAGATGTCAGTGACCTGCTGCACCAGTACCGGGAAGCCAATCAATAATGGTGGTGGTGGCAGCTGGGCAGGTCTCCTCTGGGAGGTCTTGGCCGACTCAGGGACCTAAGCCACGTTAAGTCCAAGGAGAAGAAGAGGCCTAGCCTGAGCCAAAGAGAGAGTACGGGCTCAGCAGCCAGAGGAGGCCGGTGAAGTGCATCTTCTGCGTGTTCTCTATTTGAACAAGCATTTCCCCCAGGGAAGTTTCTGGGTGCCCCACTAAGTAGAATAAAGAAAAACGGTTATAAATACCTCTGTCTTGTGGCTGAATGGGGTTGGGCCTGTGGTTGTTGGGTGGGGCAGAAAGTAAAGAGACGCTTTTTCTGGAGAAGGGGCTCAGACCCCTATCTAAGAAATGTGGCCTCACCACATAGTTCTTCCTGGGGTTTCCTTCCACACTCATCTCTCCAAGACCTCAGGAAGGCTGCTCATTGCTGTCCATGGACACTTGTTTGCAATTTCACATAGGTTAGGGTCCTTTCCATAGAGAGGCACCTGGGGACTCCTGTGTGCTCCATTGTTAATGGTTTGAGGAACAGGGAGTAGGGCACCTAGGATAACTGTTTTTGACTTTATAGAGTAGGATGAAAAAGCTTCCACTTCACTTTAATATGGTAATCATATAAACACCATACCATTTATCCCAAATAACACTTTGGAGATATTGGATATTGAATATAAAGACAGACATTAAGGGTCTAATTTCATGATGTGTCATGCTGAATTGCAAGATGGCAGGACTATAATTTTAGAGGAAGAAGAGATCAGGAGGACTCCCCTAAGTGAGGAGTGTGGGGAAAATGTAAAAGATCCAGGTTAGAAGAAAGAGACACACATCATGAGATTTTCGGAATCATGCTGGAACTATGGACCATGTCACTTTCCAGAAAATAAAGGAAACAAATGCTTGAAAGTAGGAGCATGAGCTTGAGCATGGAGCTTTTTTCATTAGAGAGAGATTCTTAAAATGCCAGAATGAATAGAGTTGTAAAACTTTAGCGAGCCCCTACTTAAAATCCCTCCTCCCCACCACCACTATTTTAAACTTTAAGTGACTCCTTGGTAGTCACACAGGTAACATTTCAAAATGGTGATCTGGAATCCAAGCGACCCTTCCTTTGGGGAATTTGTTTGTTTGTTTGTTTTTAGTTTGGGAGGTGGTTTCAATCTGAAGAGTCCTTTCTGGAATAAACGAATCTTTCTGTTGCATAGGAAGGCTCTGGGACAGGAAGGATATTTAAAAACCTAATTACTGTTCTAAACAGTGTTAAAATAGAACAAGAACCAAAGCCCAGTACCGGGCATTTCCCTCATAGGCTGAAGGTGCGCCCAACATAATTTGGAGTACAGACTCAGAGGCACCTGAACACGCGCCAGCTCAAGGTGCTCCGGCTGAGAAGGACGGATGAAGATGAACGCTCAGGGCCTACTAAATTCAAAGTCTGTACGTGAAAATCCCCTTTGGCCTGGTGAGATTGGTTGGAACCTTCTATTTAGGAGAGCCCGGCTCGCTCGCCTAAAACTGGAGCTTGCATGGAAGAGGGCACTTTTTTTTTTTTTTTAGACGAAGTCTCACTCTTGTCGCCCAGGCTGGAGTGCAATGACCCGATCTCGGCTCACTGAAACCTCTGCCTCCTGAGTTCAAGCGATTCCCCTGCCTCAGCCTCCCGAGTAGCTGGGATTACAGGCGTCCGCCACCACGCCCTGGCTAATTTTTGTATTTTTAGTAGAGACAGGGTTTCACCATGTTGGCCAGGCTGGTCTCGAACCCCTGACCTCAGGCGATCCGCCCGCCTCAGCCTCCCAAAGTGCTGTGATTACAGGCGTGAGCCACCGCGCCGGACCAGAAAGAAGGCACTTCTTAATAGTAGGCTCAGAGCTTGAAGTAGTAACTTTGAGAAAATTCAGTGATTCTCCAATTACAAAGCATTCTCCAATTACAAAGCAAGGACAACAGATACAGTTGCCCTTGAGACAACTGTATTTTACTTAATGATAAAGAAACATTTTTGCAGTTTTATATCCCAGAGTAACCGCCACTAAAGGCGAGTGAGACTCATTGCAGGCCTGTACAGTGCGAACCAGAGTTCGGGCTCCAGTTCCGCTGTCTGCGGGTCTCGCGCGCCCCCTCCCGGCGGCCCAGCCCAGAATGAAGGCCTTGGTTGGGGAAACGAAAGCGAAAGCTGCCCGAGCCCTGACGCCCGCCCTGGCCGAGCGTAGCTGGCGGACCAGAGCCGGTAGCGAGGTTGGGAGAGACGGAGCGGACCTCAGCGCTGAAGCAGAAGCCCCCGGAGCTGCGGTCTCCCCGCCGCGGCTGGTGAGTTGGTGCGGAGGGGAACCTGGAGCGCCAACAGGAACGCAGCCCAAGTGACTACCCACTCCACGCTCCTGCTTCCCAGTCCCTCTGCACCCGGCGATAGGAGGGAGCGGAGCCCGGACCACTTAGCTCGCCGCGGCAGGCGGGGGTGGGGGTGGGGGTCCGGGGATTTTTTTTTTTTTTTAAGCACGAGGCTCCTGATGGTCATGCTTCCAGCTCCCCAGAAGGCCGAAAGCTGTCTGTCGTAGGAGGGGTGTACGGATGAGCACCGGTTACTCAGGAGAGCTCTCAGGGTTGAATAGGATGAAATGAGAAGCCGATGGACGGGTTAGGCGGAGCCGGGCGGGTAGGAGGGCAGGGACAAGGATTGGGACTCCACCCCCATGATTTCTCATCTCGTATCCGTTGACAGAGCCATGCGGCTCCCTGACCTGAGACCCTGGACCTCCCTGCTGCTGGTGGACGCGGCTTTACTGTGGCTGCTTCAGGGCCCTCTGGGGACTTTGCTTCCTCAAGGGCTGCCAGGACTATGGCTGGAGGGGACCCTGCGGCTGGGAGGGCTGTGGGGGCTGCTAAAGCTAAGAGGGCTGCTGGGATTTGTGGGGACACTGCTGCTCCCGCTCTGTCTGGCCACCCCCCTGACTGTCTCCCTGAGAGCCCTGGTCGCGGGGGCCTCACGTGCTCCCCCAGCCAGAGTCGCTTCAGCCCCTTGGAGCTGGCTGCTGGTGGGGTACGGGGCTGCGGGGCTCAGCTGGTCACTGTGGGCTGTTCTGAGCCCTCCTGGAGCCCAGGAGAAGGAGCAGGACCAGGTGAACAACAAAGTCTTGATGTGGAGGCTGCTGAAGCTCTCCAGGCCGGACCTGCCTCTCCTCGTTGCCGCCTTCTTCTTCCTTGTCCTTGCTGTTTTGGGTGAGTCAGGAGAGGACGTTGTGAGTTGGAGGTGGTAAAAGGGCCTGCGCACCAGCACATTCTTGTGTTATTTTTCATGCCTCTTTCAGGTGAGACATTAATCCCTCACTATTCTGGTCGTGTGATTGACATCCTGGGAGGTGATTTTGACCCCCATGCCTTTGCCAGTGCCATCTTCTTCATGTGCCTCTTCTCCTTTGGCAGGTAGGTAGTGGGCAGCTGGGTCCATTTGCTAGCCCCAAATCTTTATAGGGGTCTTCACTTCCCTAACTCCATTTCTAGGCCCTTTCAGGCGCAAAACACAAAAATACTTAAACTAAAATATGGTGAATGTAGTCACCATTCTGTTTCATCTATCCATTCATTTCTTCCTTCGTTCATATTCATCCAATATCTTCAAAGTTTATCTGATCTTATTATAGGAACAAGTTATGAGTGAAGGTAGTACAAAAGGAATTTAAGTCTCAGGTGGAATGTCTCTCAGTTGTCTCTCAACATTCCTAGGTCCATGAAATTCCATTTCTTTCTGCCTCCTACCTCCTACCCCTAAGTCTGTCTCCAAAGTATCTCTCCAGGGTCACTCCCTCAGGATGGGTATGCTTCTCCCTCTCACTCTTCTTTCCCAGCTCATCTTGCTAATCCCTGAAGATCTTACTCTGAGGCTTATCACCTTTCTTTCCAGAATCATTACTCTTTTCCCTTCACTTGCTTTCCTTTCTTTTTCTAGACATACTCAAACAAACAAACTGTTTGATAAGGCTGGGACTGGGATGAGGTGAGCGAGGCACCTGGGGTGCAAAGTTTAAGGAGGTGTGCACTCACCTTACCCAAATCCCAGCCGGCCTGATTGTCTCTATTTTTATGGTCATACTTAATTTAGAGTACCCTCGAAAACCATTTCATTGTGCCTTCATTCCATCCTGGCTGCTTTCTGCTGAAACTACAGTTGTGCACTGCATAACGATGTTTAGGTCAATGATGGGCCACATATAAGATGGTGGACCCACAAGATTATAATACCATATTTTTACTGTACCTTTTCTATGTTTAGATACACAAATACTTACTTCTGTGTTACAGTCGCCCACAGTGTTAGGTGCAGTCATATGTTGTACAGATTTGTAGCCTAGGAGCAATAGGCTAAACTACATGGCCTAGGTGTGCAGTAGGCTATGACATCTAGGTTTGTGTAAGTACACTCTATGATGTTCATACAACAATGAAACCATCTAATGACACATTTCTCAGAACACATCCCTGTCATTAAAGTACAAACCCTCATTATATCATGTCTGACTCTCCCAAACGCCTCTTCAATATGGTAACTAAATTTGTATTAGAAACATATATTTTGTAAAATACATGCTTTTATGCTTTATATTTTTTCCTCTAAGTGTTACTGTAGCATGTAGTTGGTCTAAGAGGGATTTTCCAACTCGAAGGATGAAAGATGGGAATCACATGACTCTGGGGCTCCAGAGAATTGTGGGGGCAGGGAATTTATTATTGCAGTTCCCATGATGAAGTATCTATGATGACAGAGAAGGGCTTTGGGTATGGGGCAGGAAGGAGACCAAGGCGGAGGAGACGCACAGAGGGACAAGCCTGAGGGACGCTGGGACAGAAGCAAGCACTGGGATACTTGTTTTCACAATATCTTTTCCCTTCTATTGTAGTTTTCTATTGTGTCTAGTACAGAGTGCACTCCATAAATACTTGTAAATTTGTACATGTTATGATTTTGTTCTCACATCTAGCTCACCATGTCTCCTCTTTCTTCTTCCTCTGTGTATTCCTTACCTCTTCTCTCTCTGTGTGTCTGTCTCTCATTTCTTTCTCTTTTGCCCCTCCTGGCATGCTTTCCCCTGACTTTGCGCTTCTCTGCACTCCTGGCTTGCTCCTCTGTTTCACCCGCTGGCTTGCTCCTTCTCTGCATCTCCCTCCCCTCTTATTCTCCTACCCCACAGCTCACTGTCTGCAGGCTGCCGAGGAGGCTGCTTCACCTACACCATGTCTCGAATCAACTTGCGGATCCGGGAGCAGCTTTTCTCCTCCCTGCTGCGCCAGGACCTCGGTTTCTTCCAGGAGACTAAGACAGGTGGGGCCTGGAGTCCAGGTCTGAGATTCCCATGGACATCCCTTGCCCCTCAGTGACCTTCCACCCACAGCCTCTCCTCCTGCCTTCACCCGTATGCCAGGACCTGGGGATGCTTTTCTCTTGTTTGGGACAGGGTGGAGAAGCAGCCTCCACTGTCCCTCTGCAAGTGAAGGAGGATGTTCAGAGGAGGGGGCTGTGTCAGAGGGAACGGTCAGGAGGGAGTTTCTGGGGGCCCTGCAGTACACATGGTTTCCTTTTTCCTCACCTGCTCTGTCCTTCTTAGGGGAGCTGAACTCACGGCTGAGCTCGGATACCACCCTGATGAGTAACTGGCTTCCTTTAAATGCCAATGTGCTCTTGCGAAGCCTGGTGAAAGTGGTGGGGCTGTATGGCTTCATGCTCAGCATATCGCCTCGACTCACCCTCCTTTCTCTGCTGCACATGCCCTTCACAATAGCAGCGGAGAAGGTGTACAACACCCGCCATCAGGTGAGCGTGCATGTAAGGGAACCCCAAAGGGAGAATAAAACTGACAGGTGAGGAGGCTTCCACATTTGTGGCTAGAGGATCCCCTAGAGAGAGATGTTCTCTTCTCAGCCATTAGGGGAGAAGGTATATTGTAGTATATACTACATTTTGTTTGTCCAGCCATCCAACAATGGATATTTGACTTCAGAAGATTCATGATTCTCCAGAACTGTAAACAAAAATGTAAAGTGTATGTGAAGGTATGGGGGAGGGAATAGGAAGGGGAGATGATAGGCGATGATAACTTTTCATTAGCTTCTCAAAGGAGTCTGTACATCCCCCGCCCCCACTGCGAAGATTAAAAATGGTTTCTTAGAGGCTTTTAGGCAGGGAGATTTTCCCTTTAAAATCAGCAGAAGAAGTCTGGATGCAGCATAGGGAAAGGAGGCGTCATCAGGAAGTCCTAAGTCTGAATGTCAGCTCCACCTTCTCTTTTTCTCTTATATTGTGGTAAAACATACATAACATAAAATTTACCATTTCAACCATTTGAAGTGTACAGTTCAGTGACATTTAGTTGTTATTGGTTAACCATCATCACCATCCATCTCCAGAACTTTTTTCATCTTCCTAAAATGAAACTCTGTACCCACTAAATAGTAACTGCCTACTACCCCCAACCCCTGGCCGCTGGCAACCTCCATTGTACCTTCTGTCTCCATGAATTGTGATGACTCCCGGTGCGGTACGTAAGTGGAACCATACAGTATTTGTCTTTTTGTGACTGGCATATTTTACTTAGCGTAATGTCTTCAGGCCTCATCCATATTGTAGCATGTGTTAGAATTTCCTCCCTTTTAAGGCTGAATAATATTCTGTTGTGTGCATATATCACATTTTGATTATCCATTCATCTGTCAATGGACATTTGCGTTGTTTCCACCTTTTGGCTGTTGTGAATTATGCTGCTGTGGACATGAGTGTACACCTGTTTGAAACCCTGCTTTTGGTTCTTTTGGGTATATACTTAGAAGTGGAGCTGCTGGATCATATGGCAATTCTATTTAACAATTTTTGAGGAACCATGTATTAGTCCATTTTTACGCTGCTGATAAAGACATACCCAAGATTGGGCAATTTACAAAAGAAAGAGGTTTATTGGACTTACAGTTCCATGTGGCTGGGAAGACCTCAAATCATGGCGGAAGGTGAAAGACACATTTCACATGGCAGCAGACAAGAGAAAAGACAGCTTGTGCAGGGGAATTCCCCTTTTTAAAACCATTATATCTCGTGAGACTTATTCAATATCACAAGAACAGCATGGGAAAGACTTGCCCTCATGATTCAATTACCTCCTACCCAGTCCCTCCCACAACACATGGGAATTCAAGATCAGATATGGGTAGGGACACAGCCAGATCGTATCAAACCACCATACAGTTTTCCATAGCGGCAGCACCATTTTAAATTCCCACCAGCAGTGCATAAGGTTTCCAATTTCTCCACATCCTCATCAACACCACTTTCTGTTGTCTTTTTTTTTAATAGCCATTCTAATGGTGATTAGGTGATTAGGATTATCTCATTGTGGTTTTGATTTGCATTTCCCTAATGATTAGTAAATATTGAGCATCTTTTCGTGTGATTTTGGCCACTTATGTTTCTTTCTTGAAAGAATGTCTGCAAGTTCTTTGCCCATTTTCTGATTTTTTTTTAAGTTGTGGGAGTTCACTATATGTTTTGCCTATTAATTTCCTATCAGATATATGATTCACAAATATTTTCTTGTATTTCATGGTTGCTTTTTCACTCTGTTGCTAGAGTTCTTTGATGCACAAACGTTTTAAATTCTGATGAAGTCTGATTTATCTATTTTTTGTTGCCTGTGCGTTTGGTGTTATATCCAAGAAATCACTGCCAAATCTAGTGGCATGAGGCTTTTCTTCTACATTTTCCTAGGAGTTTTATAGTGTTAGCTCTTATGTTTAGGCCTCTGATCCATTTGGAATTACATCTCCACCTTTCTTAACTATCTGTGGCTCCTTGGGAAAACTACCCTTCTTTCCTGATTCAGACACTGGGGATGGGAAAATTACCTCAAATGAAGGTTAAAAAAATTGCATGTATCTCCTATACTACCTAACACTGAGAGCTCAATAATATTTTGTTCCCTTGCTCCTTCACTCTTATTCCTTCTGGAAAGAAGAGTAAGGAAGAGGGAGAGAAACAGTTTGGTATTTTTAGGTAGACTAGGGAGCATCTCACTGGCTGGAGTAAGATGTGGGGGCCTGCTGTCTTTGCACATCAGCCCTGGTGTTTGCTGGCCCTCTTTTCCAGGAAGTGCTTCGGGAGATCCAGGATGCAGTGGCCAGGGCGGGGCAGGTGGTGCGGGAAGCCGTTGGAGGGCTGCAGACCGTTCGCAGTTTTGGGGCCGAGGAGCATGAAGTCTGTCGCTATAAAGAGGCCCTTGAACAATGTCGGCAGCTGTATTGGCGGAGAGACCTGGAACGCGCCTTGTACCTGCTCATAAGGAGGGTAAGATACCAGAGTGGTTGTGAAAGGAGCCCAGGAAAGGGGGAGGGCAAGGGAAGAGGAAACTACAGCTGGTTCTAGAGGCCTTTGCAGCTCAGTCTCATAGAGGCAGAGAGGGGGAAAGAATGGGAAGATTCCCAGCCTCATCTCTTTCTTCTCCTCTTCCAGGTGCTGCACTTGGGGGTGCAGATGCTGATGCTGAGCTGTGGGCTGCAGCAGATGCAGGATGGGGAGCTCACCCAGGGCAGCCTGCTTTCCTTTATGATCTACCAGGAGAGCGTGGGGAGCTATGTGCAGGTGAGCGAGAAGCCAAGCCTGCTCTCCTTTTTTCCCTCTCTTTTTCTTTGTGGACTCCTGGGCCTTGGGCTTTATTTGTTCTTTTTAACAATACAATACAAAACCAAAACCCGCAAGTAATTTTGCTATGGAGAATTTTAAACATATGCCAAAAATGAGACAAAATAATATTACAAACTCACATGTGTACATCCTGTGCTTTAACAATGATCAACTCATGCCCAATCTTGTTGGATCTGTATCCCCAGCCACTTCCCCCCACCCATATTATTCTGAAGCAAATCCAAGATATTGTATACTTTCATCTGTAAATATTTCAGTATGTTTCTTAAAAATACAAACATCTTTAAAAGTGTATAACAACAAAGCCATTATCACACCAAAAAATTAACAGTAGTTCTTAAAATTTATCAAATAGTCAATTGTCAAATTTCCACTTGTGGTATCCATGTAGTATATGTGTATGAGTGTGTTTATTATACTTTGCTTAAATCAGGATCCAGAAATGGTCCACATATTGTGACTGGTTGATACATCTTTTAAGTCTGTCTGTCTATCTATCTATCCATCCATCTATCCATCCATCCACCCATCAATCCATGTATCTGTCTAAAAGTTTCCCTTGCACAGTTTATTTGTTGAAGAAATAGGTTGTTTGTCCTGTGGAGTTTCTTAGGGTCTGGATTTTGTTGACTGAATCCCTGTGGTATTATATGCTCTTCTGCCTCTGTACTTCCTGTCTATTGATAGATAAACCTAGAAGCTTGTGAGATTGAGGGGTTTTTTTTGGTCTTTTTCCAGCAACAGTACTTTTTAGGTGGTGATGCATTCTTCCTCCAAGAGGCACACAATGTCTGGTTCTCTATTTGTGGCAACATCAGCCACTGATGAGCAGTACCTACATCCATGACAGAATTAGGGCTGCAAAAGGGAGATACTCTATCATTCTTCATGTATTAGCTGAAGTAGTCTATGAAGGGAGACTTCCCCTCATCTACCATTTCATTACCCGGTGGTACAGTTTGATGAGGAAAGGCAGAGTGAGCATTTAGATCTCTTCCTACATTTACCAGTTCTCAAAAACAGCTACTTCATCCAGGGCTTTATTTAAACATTTTCCTAGACACTTGATAAACATCTTTTTTGTGTAGAGAACTGCGCTGGGCACTCTGACGGCTACAAAGGTGAGTTGGGCACAGTGCCTGCATTTAAGGAGCTCCCCGTCTAATCAAGCAAGACAGAACTGGGCACAAGTAATAGGAAGCAGTAACTGAAAAGATCTGGGGCTAGAGGCAATGCTGTATGGTAGGAGAAGGGACTGTATATCCTTTATATTGCAAATTGGAACACTGGGGTATTGGTGCCACTTTTAAATTCCGTCCAAATTGTACATTTAAAAGTGGAGAATCTCTTTTGAGTATGGAGGAGGAGCAGTGCAGTTGTGAGTGGAGTGTGTGAGGAGTTGGGAGGGTGGTTTCTGGTAGAAGTGTGTTTAATTAGCCGGCTCTCCCATTCCTGTTTTCCAGACCCTGGTATACATATATGGGGATATGCTCAGCAACGTGGGAGCTGCAGAGAAGGTTTTCTCCTACATGGACCGACAGCCAAATCTGCCTTCACCTGGCACGCTTGCCCCCACCACTCTGCAGGGGGTTGTGAAATTCCAAGACGTCTCCTTTGCATATCCCAATCGCCCTGACAGGCCTGTGCTCAAGGTGCCTGAAAGAGGGAGGAAACCTGGACCCTTGCTCTCTGCTGCTAATGCATAATTGGACATCACAGCCTATAGTTCATTTGCCTCTGAGAACCTGGTCTTGCCTCTGCTAAGAAGAGAAATGGAGGGATTTTGAGGGAGAAGGGGCAGGCCCTTAACTCTTTTTCTGGTTTTCTAGGGGCTGACGTTTACCCTACGTCCTGGTGAGGTGACGGCGCTGGTGGGACCCAATGGGTCTGGGAAGAGCACAGTGGCTGCCCTGCTGCAGAATCTGTACCAGCCCACAGGGGGACAGGTGCTGCTGGATGAAAAGCCCATCTCACAGTATGAACACTGCTACCTGCACAGCCAGGTGGGTGAGGAGGGAGAAGACAGGGGACAGGAGAGGGGAGCATGTACAGAGAGAGGATGGGAGATCCACGGGAAGGCGCACCAGGTGTTCATTCTGAGGGAGGTAGGTGGGGAGGACAAAAGGGCCCCTGCCTTGGGGGTTTACACATAGTCCTCTGCCCCTGTCCCTGCTGCACAGGTGGTTTCAGTTGGGCAGGAGCCTGTGCTGTTCTCCGGTTCTGTGAGGAACAACATTACTTATGGGCTGCAGAGCTGCGAAGATGATAAGGTGATGGCGGCTGCCCAGGCTGCCCACGCAGATGACTTCATCCAGGAAATGGAGCATGGAATATACACAGGTATCTTCTACAAATTGTAAGCTTGCTCCTTCAGTAAAAAAGAGAAAATCAGACTTACTCTTAGTGGTGAAGGTCGTGTCCCTGTAGCTTGATGTTTGCTGTTCCTCTGCCCTTTCCTCCATTCCTACGTCTCCTTCCCCACACACTGAATTCTTCAGCCTCCCTCTTGATCAAGAGTCTTTGTTTGCAGAGAGCAATGCAGCAGTGGTGCTCCCTCCATGGGCAGCCCCGTCAGGTCCCCACCCCATGGCCCTCCTCCCACTGGGCCCTCCCCGCACTGGGCCCTCCCACCTCCCGAGGTCCTACTGGAAGTACCTGCTGTGCACTTGTCCCTCCTTGTGTGTTGTCTGTGTCACTTGTATCTGAGGAAGGGAATTTCTCTGATTTCCTCAGATGTAGGGGAGAAGGGAAGCCAGCTGGCTGCGGGACAGAAACAACGTCTGGCCATTGCCCGGGCCCTTGTACGAGACCCGCGGGTCCTCATCCTGGATGAGGCTACTAGTGCCCTAGATGTGCAGTGCGAGCAGGCCGTGAGTACCATGAGAGGGCAGGGGACAGTGGGGCCTGGGAGGGGCATGCTGGGAGGATCAGACTGTGCAGAATTGGGCAGAGGGAGGACGAAGGACCTACTAGTGGAAACAGTCTGTGCCTTCTTGGGGTTGGGGAATGGAATCCGGTGGTGTGAGGGCAGCCCCAGTTCCCTCCTGGGCTTCCATTCCTCCAGCTGTGGCAGTACAGCCGGGAGAGAAGGGCAGTCCAGGCCTTTATCTACTGCCCTTTCCTACCTTCTTTTATTTCACACCTTCTTTACCCTAAATCATAAGAGATGGTGCCCAGGTGGATGTGGTGTCCATCTCATTCCTGTCTTTCTGAGGCACTGTGATCACCCCTTCAGCTGCAGGACTGGAATTCCCGTGGGGATCGCACAGTGCTGGTGATTGCTCACAGGCTGCAGACAGTTCAGCGCGCCCACCAGATCCTGGTGCTCCAGGAGGGCAAGCTGCAGAAGCTTGCCCAGCTCTAGGAGGGACAGGACCTCTATTCCCGCCTGGTGCAGCAGCGGCTGATGGACTGAGGCCCCAGGGATACTGGGCCCTCTTCTCAGGGGCGTCTCCAGGACCCAGAGCTGTTCCTGCTTTGAGTTTCCCTAGAGCTGTGCGGCCAGATAGCTGTTCCTGAGTTGCAGGCACGATGGAGATTTGGACACTGTGTGCTTTTGGTGGGGTAGAGAGGTGGGGTGGGGTGGGGTGGGGGCTGTCTGTGTCCAGGAAACTTAATTCCCTGGTGACTAGAGCTTTGCCTGGTGATGAGGAGTATTTTGTGGCATAATACATATATTTTAAAATATTTTCCTTCTTACATGAACTGTATACATTCATATAGAAAATTTAGACAATATAAAAAAGTACAAAGAAGAAAAGTAAAAGTACCCATTGTTTCACTTCCTGGAGATAACCATAGTTGCTATTTTGCTGCCTGTCCCATCAGTCGTTTATCTGTTGTTTGAGATAGAAATTAACCAAAAATGACATAAATATTCATGAGATTGCCTTCCTATATCCTTCCTTGTTCCTACCAGTGTCTGCTATTTTGAAGAAGCTAGGGTCTGGAGGGACAGAGAACAGTTCCCTGATTAACAGTATTAATAGCGACATTGGTAACAGCTACCATTTATAGAGTTTTAATGGGAGTAGGAGCTATGCTAAGTGTTTTTCATGTATTATCGTTTTTAATCATTATCCCCAACCCTATGAGGTTGGTTATTATCCCCATTTTACAGATGAGGAAACTGAAGCTCAAAGAGGCTCAATGACTTTCCCAAGGTGGTCGTAGTGGTGGAGTTGGAGTTTGAACACAGGCCTGACCCTAGAGTCCACACCCTGACCCAATCAATTATATTGCATCTTGGGTCCATAAACCCTAATCCATAATCCCATCAAGAAAAGCTCTGCTGCTCTTAGCTCTAAATAATTCAGAATCTATTCTCTTCTCTCCAGTCCCGTTGTTATAGTCTTCACTCATAGACTTAAGATGATCCCATCACCAGAGAGGTTTCTCTACCATTAGCTTCCCTCTTCCGGCCATTCTTCACAAAGTCATTTTTCTAAATTCTGTGTCACATACGATGATGGCATTTCTGGAAATTCCTTCAGGTGCTCTCAAGCCCTGCTGCAGAGATCCTTTTCAGAGCACACACTGTTCCAGCCCATCTGTCTCACCCTCTCCTGTTGTATCCAGCTCCACGACAAACTTCTGCCTTCCCCAACACCTTTGTGCCTTTGCATATGGTGTTTTCTTGCCCATTTTCTGCTCGACTCGCCCCTGATTTTCAAGTTCAAGACTTAACTCAGGGTTCAGGTCTTCCAGGAGGCCTTACTTATGTCGTCAGTCTGGGGAACTCTCCATGTGCTTCTATCACTGTGCGGTTACCTCTTTCACAGCCCTTTTAAAGTTCTATCTTCCCTTTCCCACCTTTTTTGACCTTCCACTAGACCATGAGCACCTGGGCGGAAAGCCATATATCTTATTAAGCTTTATATCTGCTACCTGGCCGAGGGCCTAATTCATAGTGGAGAATAAATAGTCAATTGAATAAATGAATAAATATCTCCACCATCGTACTAATCTTAATCCTCCCTGCCCACTCCCACCACTGAAAATGCAACATTGTACACATCACTGGTTGTTGGGAGGGACTTACCTTGGAAAGTTGCTATTCTAGGAAAGAGAAACCTTCATATTCCTGGAAACAGCAGGTAGTTTCCAGTGCTGGCAATGAATTCCCCAGAACTGCTGTTTTGGATTTTTTCTTGCCTGGCAGCTGTTGGGAGCAGGGTGCAGTGAGGATGGGGTGAGAGTGGGCAGTTTCTTGTGCAGATTTGCCTTTCTTTCATCCTGGGGCTGACTTGCAGCTCCACACCCATCCATCTCTCAAATTTCACAGAGGGTAAAATAGGCATTTGGAGAGAAAGAACTCTGGCCTGATTCCTTTCTCTCCCACAAATGTCCTTTATTCATAAAACAGGAATAATAATTCCTGTATCTCCCAACTACATGGAAGCTGCAGCCCTCACAGAAGAAGATGATCTGAGAAATTCTTTGATTTCCTCAGTACAGTTATACCCATGCATCATAATACTTTAAGCCTGGAAGGCATCTTAAAAATAATGCAACAGTCAAACCTAATTTTACAGAGAAACTGACATGAAATCACGCAGCTAATCATGATAAAGCTGGGTGGAAAACTTATCTTGATGGGCAGTACAGGAAGATGCAGTAGACCTT
The DNA here is from genome assembly GCF_000001405.40 of Homo sapiens. Lineage (NCBI taxonomy): Eukaryota > Metazoa > Chordata > Mammalia > Primates > Hominidae > Homo > Homo sapiens. The sequence continues at coordinate 4,125,724 of NT_167247.2, read as the reverse complement.
AAGATGTCCTGAAAGTTTCTTATCTCAGGGGAAACTCCCAGGTAGGCTTTATGTCAGGGACACAGAAAAATGCTCCCTGAAAGTCAAAATATTCGGGCTAGACAGACAAATTCCTGTAAGTGTGGTTTGTCTGGGAACCACAGATGTCACTAATCCTGGTTTGCTCCAGAGTTCTTTTTGTTCACTCCTACCCCCCATCACCATTTGATTGATCTCCTTACCCTGTAATTTCCCCTTCTTGTCGCTTACCTGCAGTATCTTTCCCACCCAGGCATGCCTTATTCTTTCTAAAGGAAAGTATGAATGGAGAGGGGAAAGCTTGGGAAACTGATAGATTTCCTTGGATGCCAAAACACCTCCATAGCCTGTCTGCCCGGCCCTATGTGGAAACAGCATTGAGTTTCAAGTCCTTTATGCCTCCACCCAGGGATAGCCACTTGGAATCCACATGGCAATTGTGAAACAAGCAGGAAATGCGTAATTGTCAGAATTTTGTGGGGAAAGGACTAGGGAATAAGGAAAACAAAGATCTTCCTTGTGTTTTAGAGCTGTCAGCTAGAGGAGCACCTGCTTGAGTCTGATGCCATCTAATGGTCCCAGAAGAAACTGGGTTTTGAACCTAGAGTTCCATGGACTCTTAGGAATTAGACTACTACTACTACTAAGCATTCACTGGTGCTTACTATGTGCTATTGCTGTGCCAAGTATCTGAAACCTGTCTTCTTACCTTATTTTTCAAGATAATTCTATGTGGCAGGTATTACTATCTCAATTCTAAGAGTGAGAAAATGGAGTTTTAGAAACATTTACTAACTTGCCTGGGTCACATAGCTAAGGAAGAGGTGGACTTGCCCAGCTTTGCATAAAACTCCTCAAAAGAGTTGCCTATACTCCCTGACTCCACTTATCTTCCTACTATCCTCTTTTTAAAATATATTATTTATTTATTTAAATAAGCAATATATGAATGTGGTTTGAAATTCAAAAGACACAAAGAAGTATACAGAGGAAAGCCTCACTCTCAATCCTTCTCAAGGTTTGCTAATTCCTCTTGCATAGGCAATCCGTTCTTCCAGCTTTGTGTTTATCTTTCCAGAGAAGTTTACTGTGTATTAAGCAAATATGTATATCTTTATTCTTGCTCAGTATTTTCGCAAACAGCAGCTGTCTAAGTTCACTGTTCTGAACTTTATTTTTTAAATTAAAAATATATGGCTATGTAGTATTCTATTTTATGGAAGTTCCATATTTCATTTATCCTGTTTCCTTCTACTGATGGCTAGTTAGGTTATTGGAAGTCTTTTGCTGTTGCTAGTTAGTCTTGTATAGACATTGTAATGCACATGTGCAAAAATACAAGTATGATACAATCTTAAAGGGGAGTTGCTGAGTCCAATATATACATTACAAATATTGATAGATATTGCAAAATTGCCTTCATAGAGGCTATATTAATTTATAGTTCCAGCAGCAACATATGAGTTTATCTGTTTCTCCATATATATATATATGTATATAACCAACAGACAGTGTTATTTTTTAAAATTTTGACAATCTTCTGGGTGAAAGTAGCATTGTATTGTAGTTATCATTTGCTTTTTAATATTATCATGTAAGTAACAGAGATACTAAACCCAGAAGGATAAGGGAGCAAAGATGAGAAAAATAAACACACACACAAACAACAATAACAAATCTGTCTAAAATATTGGAAAATCAGAATGAGAAATGAAATATGACTGTAACGATAAAAATCAGTAATAAAAATGACTATTAAATTTAAAAATAAGGCAGAGCAACCACAAGTGACATGAGAATGAGGCAGACAAAGTTAAAGCACCTAAAGTCTTTGTCTTGTTTGAAAGGAGGGTAGAGATATTGATTACCTTCAGATGCTGCCACATTTGGTAAACATGTTAAAAATATAAGACTGACTTTTAACTAATATAATTAGAATTTAAAATTCCTAAATCAGTAAGGGGAAATTAAATAATACTTTAAATAAAAATGTAATTGATTTAATATAAGTGATGCAAGGAAAACAAAAGAAGCAAAGTAAGACATAGCAAATACAGAGCACCATATATTGTAACAGAAACGAATGTAAATAGCACAGTGATCACAAGTATAAATAGCTTAAATATGGGAGTTAAAGGAAAGTTCTCAGATTAGATTAACAATATCGCAAAATCCAGTTATATGCCCTTCATAAGATCACAAGAAACCTAAAAACATGAAAATGTTAAATCAAAACCAGATATAAGATACACAAAGCAAACACTAACAGAAGACAGAAAGACAGCTTATGTAATTACAGAAATATCTAAACATATAGTCTAAAACCAAAGGCATTAGTAAAAACAAAGACAGCCATTACATAGTGATAATGAAGTCACCAGAACATTATACTAAAACTGAATCAGTTTGCACCTAGCAATAAAACTACAAAATATGTAAGAAATATAGGAGAATTATAGGAAGAAATTAATTGAGAAATTGAAACACATTTCTCAATGATTATAGAATAAGTGGAAAAATGAATAAGGATATCAAATAAGCCTGTTGATGTTCTTGTCTGTAACATCTAGGAATCAAAATATATTCTTTAATAAATCAAGTGCTCGTATTTACACATTTAAGACTACAAAGGTAGACACACACACAGAAAGAGGAAGGGAGAGGATATGAGCTAGTTTTGTGATTGTTCATTATTTAAAACTAATAGGAATTATCTAAAGGAAGAGGGAACTAAGTGTATTATATACAAATAAACTTATCAAAGCAACCTTGAAATATACACCTTCCTTAATATCTGAAAAGGTAAAATTTTTAAAATGCACAATAAAGACATAGTGAAAGATTTTTAAAAATACTCATGTAAACATTATACTTAACAGAAGTTAATATCTCTGAATTAGACTGAATCTATTTGCTGTATGAATAATTATAAATGGGCTTCTTAACTGAACTAAATAAATGAAAATATTTTTAAATTAGATTAAGATAAAAACTCTATTATTTGCAATATGCAAAAGACACCTAACATAAAGCCACTCAGAAAGATGTATTCATTATTTTCAACAAATAAGATGATGGGCAAAGACATAACAAGAGAAGGCAAACAAAAGGGAAGCAGAGGTCACATTCGTCTTACCAAACAAGATGAAATTCAGACACTCCTCACCAAAAAAAAAAAAAAAAAAAAAAATTGAGTGTGACAAGAAGGGCACTTTATAATGTAAAGTATAAAATTCATATGAATATATGAGACATGTGTTTAAGTTCTAAATACCAAATAGGTAGCTCTTATAAAGCAGAAATTAAGGTAGATACAAGGAAAATATTCAGAAATGTACTACCAATAGAACACTTTAATTCCCTTTCCCTGGACTAGACCAGTTAAGTGGACAAAAAAATAGGCTGGGCCTGGTGATTCATGCCTGTAATCTCAGCACTTTGGTAGGCCAAGGCGGGCGGATCACCTGAGGTCAGGATTTCGAGGGCAGCCTGGCCAACATGGTGAAACCCTGTCTCTACCAAAAATACAAAAATTAGCTGGGTGTGGTGGTGGGCGCCTGTAATCCCAGCTACTTGGGAGGCCGAGGCAGGAGAATTGCTTGAATCTGGGAGGCAAAGGTTGTAGCGAGCCAAGATCGCACCACTGCACTCCAGCCTGGGCGGCACAGTGAGACTCTGCCTCAAAAAAAAAAAAAAAAAAAGTATGAACACAGAAGATAGAAGATATTACTATCAATAAAAAAATAGATATGCTACATCTATATCAAACTTTTAAAATTGAAAATAGAGGCCGGGTGCAGTGGCTCACACCTATAATCCCAGCACTTTGGGAGGCCTAAGCAGTCGGATTGCTTGAACTCAGGAGCTCAAGACCAGTGTGGGCAACAGCGAAAACCCGTCTCTACAAAAAATACAAAAATTAGCCAGATGTGGTGGCTCGTGCCTGTGGTTTCAACTACTTGGCTGAGGTGGGAGGATCGCTTGGGCCCAGTTCAAGGCTGCAGTGAGCTATGATTGTGCCACTGCACTCCAGCCTGGGCAACAGAGTGAGGCCTTGTCTCTAAAACAAACAAACAAACAAACAAAAATTAAATGGCTCAATGGCATAGAAGAAAATTTTTTTATGAAGCAAGTATAATATTGATGTTAAACTATGACAATGCACAAATATAAAAATTGTAGATGAATTTACTTATTATACTGACACAAAAATCCTAAATAAAACATTGCAAACAGATTCTAGCACAGATTAAAAAACACCCATTAAGATCAAGGGGTTTTTTTTGTTTTTTTTTTCTAGAAAACCCTTTGGAAGTTCATGATATTTTGAATTTCAATGGATATTTCCTGGGAATAATGAGTTCAAATGAACGAATATGTGGAACAAAGCATCACCAACATTTATTTTTTCAGGATGAGGTGATGGACAAAACCATCACAGGGAAATTGAGGCAAATAGTACATGTAAAACAATACTTCGGGTGAGTCCACCTATCCCAAAGTCGTATCAAAGAAGTGGCTGCAGATTGGAGCCCAAAGCCTTTGGTTCCTCAGTTTCCAAATGGATTCTCACTAGGTGGGATCATGAGTTTGCTTTGGACACCCCAAATTCTAACTATTTCTTTTGTTTCTTACATCCTTTCCCTCTTCCCCAGCCCCTTCCCCTCATGTTACACCTCTTGCTGGTTTGAGACGTCAATCACCACTGAGAAAGAATTAAACCAGTATTTTGAGCTGGCAAAATTCTTAGCCTAGTACAATTCCTTCAATTAAACTGTAGCTCAACAATGTGTTCTCTAAAAGTATGATTTAATATTCTACCTAGAAACTCAGAATATTTTTCATAACTCCTCCAGGGCAGTGTGGATTATGTTGATGTGTTAGGAGGAAGTAGAAGGAAGAAAATGAATTGAGATGTACGTTTTACTTCCATGTCAAAGTCACCAAAATAGCAGTTGAAGGGATATTTGTGTCAGGCAATAGGGAGAATAATAATTTTATGCCACCCTCAAAAAACAACCACACATACACCCAAATTCTCTCACTCCTCAGAGAAAGGGGAAGGAAAGAAAAGAGAGAAGCAAAATATGAGCTTGAGTGAAAAATCACAGAGGAGCCTGTAGCTATTTAGGGAGGGCTGCTGGCTGAAGTCAGGCAGGAAAAAAAGATCAAAACACCCTGCCCTATTTTTCAGGCTCGTTCAAGTAGAAGACAAAAACATAAATACAGGAGAAAGGAAGAAAACCACATCTTTTTCCTCTTGTCTCCCCAGAACTGAACAGTGTCTCTGATAAGCCCAGGCCCTTCTATCGTAGACACTGACACTATGCACAGAAAATGACTCAAAAACGCTTCTAATGGGGGTGAATCTGATGCTTCAGTTTATTTAAGATGTACCAGAGGCCATCTAAGGAGATCCATAGCTTGCTAACTGAAGCTTATTGCTTTCTCTTCTTAGTTCCCATGCCAGGCTCTATGCCATTCCTTGCTTGTCATGTGAGATCACTGATTTCCTTTGGTTAGGTAGGATATGATTTCCTTACAGAGATCTGTCCTGACACCAAACAGCTATGATGAAATTCCTTGGTTATTTTCCCTTTTTGTGTACCTTATCATTACCGGAATGCTAAAGCTGTAGGAATAAAGTTTCCCTGGCTTCCCAAGAAATACAGTGTGACAGAAAAAGTATAGCCTAGGGACTTACTAGTTATGTGAACTTTGGTTCATTCCATCCTTACCTCATCTGTAAAAGGGAGATCATGATAGTATCTACTGCAAAGGGTTTTGTGTGATGATTCTCTCTCTTTCTCTCTCTCTCATACACACACACGCACACATTTATATAATGCTTAGAAAATGAACTCATAATAAGCAATTGACAAACATTAGCTATTATTATGTAGGCAAGTCAGATTTTAGAGTTTGTGAGCCTTAGACACATTTACAGAGAAGAAAGAGCAGCCCTCCTAACTTTCTGGTCCAGCGCCATATCCTCCACTTCCTCCCCATCCCCACATCCCTTGCCATTTATCAACCCCCTCTCTCCTCTAAATCTAAATACAGGCCCCCGTTTGATCCATATTGTCTAGGCCCTTCCTCTCCTCTCCACATGGCCCTTCCTTCAGCTCTGAGGGAAGCTGCAGAAGCCAGCCATGGTGCTGTCTACAAAGAAGGGGACACACGCCTCTTCCACCCGCTCATGCTGTTACTGCATCTGATCATCTCCGTGCCGTGTCCTTGTTCACTTAGCCTGTGTTGAGTGTTTGTCTCCATTTCCAAATGCAATAAAACATCTGGGAAAGACTAAGGTAGGTGTGGGCAGGAAGAAGGGAGGAAGTTAGACCCAGTGGCTTGAGTGCCCTCTGATGCCTCCTTATCCTCGGCTCCACACAAGCCCTCACCAGTGTGAGCTCCACAGCCATCCACCTGGAGGAGGAGTACTCAAAACCAGGGTCAAATGCCTTGTACTCGGGGGTCTACCAGTAAGCCTGTGGCCAGCCTTCCACTTCATGAATCGTCACATTTACATGAGAGATGTGGAGGGAGAGGGGTCAGCCTCCTAGCTCCTGTCCTGTAGCAGTTAAGTCAAGTCAGGCCAGGCTGTGGTAACCAAGCCAGTACCTTCTTTAAAGAACAGTTGTTTCTCATTCATACAGAGTGTGTTGTAGGTGTGAGTGATTCCCTGGGGCAGCTGCTCTTCATGGTGACTCAGCTAATTAGACTGCTTTTCTACTGGGATTGTGCCATCTCAACACAAGGCTGTCTTGGTTGACTTGGTAGGGGAGGAGGAGAAGAGTCATGCACGAGGAGTTAAATTCTTTGACCAGGAACCTTTTGTTCACTTTCCATTGGTGAGAACGAGTCACACAGCTCCAGGAGAGTAGGAAGTCTAGTTTCTCGTTTTCCATGGGCCTAGGAATTAGAGGATGAACACTAGCGATGTCTTCCACGTCTTGCTCTCTTTTTCTTTACCTGTTATAATCTCCCATGGAGAAGAAATTATTTTTCTGATTGGTCTGATCCAGGCCTCTAACCAAGGGCATTTACTAAGGGTCATAGAACAGTAAAAGGTTGCACAATTGCATCTCACCTCTCTTTTCTGAATCCTGCTTAATTAAAACTTTAAAAACTCACTTACAGACCACTTCTTGCTCTTCTTAGTTATCAAATATATTTTCTTCCAACTCCTTTTTGACAGATCTTGCCTTGTTCTCAGCTGACTCCCTTGCAACCATCTAAATGGAACTTCCTCATTCCCCTTTATCCCCTGCTAATCGTCCTGTCTTTATTCTTTTATCTGAAGAAGTGTACCCTTCTTCCCCCAAGCCTTATGCTCTCTGTCTTAGTCCATTTGTGTTAGTGTAACAAGATACACGAGATAGGGTAATTTATGAAGAACAGAAATTTATTTCTCACAGTTCTGGAAGCTAGAAGTTCAAGGTCATGGCCCTGGAAGATTTGATGCCTTGGCCATCGACTTGAAAAAAGTCACTGAAGTGAACTTGTGGTTACCATGATACCCTGGGTTCATTCTTAACATGCACAGTATAGGCAAATCAGGGGCACATTTCATGCTGAAAGATGATGTGAAATGATGAGTAAACATTGCCCTTTAAATAATAATAACATAGATGGTGAATTACAATTTGCACTTTTGGTTTTATTTGCTTAAAGATAGTGTTTTACTGTCTAGGTTTTACTGAAAGAATACTTAACTAAACACTTGAGTCAAATCATTCCAGTGTAACAGTCCTCACAAGGAGGAAGGCAGAAGGGCAAAAGTGCCAAGCTATTGCCTCCAGCCCTTCTATTTTTATTGATTGACTGATTGATTGATTGAGACAGGGCCTCGTTCTGTTACCCATGCTGGAGTACAGTGGTGCATTCATGGTTCACTGCAACTTTGAACTTCTGGGCTCAAGTAGTCTTCCCACCTCAGCCTCCAAAGTAACTAAGACCACAGGTGCATGCCACCATGTTTATTTCTTTAATTTTTTAAATTTTATTTGGACATGGGGGTCTCACTATGTTTTCCAGGCAGGTCTCTAACTCCTAGCCTCAAGCAATCTTCCTCCTCAGCCTCCCAAAGTGCTGGGATTACAGGCATGAGCCATCATCCCTGCTCTCTCTAGCCCTTTTTAAAGTCTCTAATCCCATTCAGGAGGCCTCTGCATTCATGACTTAATCACCTCCTAAAGGGCCCACCTTTTGATACTATCACATTGGTGATTAAATTGCAACACTTGAATTTTGAGTGACATTCAGACCACAGCATTTTGGAGAAAATGTCCCCTTTCTTCTCTTTTTTCTCTTCAGTTTCTCCTTTCTACAGATACCTTGCACTTCACTTGCAACCTTGTTGAAGTCTCTCCTGTCTTAAAAGTTTCTTTTCCCAAAACACCAGAACTCATTCCTTCTGTCTAACTGTAACTTTGTACTTGTTACCAACCTCTACCCATTTCTACCCCTGACTCCCCAGCCTCTGGTAACTCCTAACGTACTCTTTACTTCGATGAGGTCAACTTTTTTAGATTCCACATATGAGTGAAATCACGTAATATAGTCCTTCTGTTCTTGGCTTATTTCACTTAACATAGAGCCCTCCAGGTTCACCCATGTTGTTGAAAATGACAGGATTTCATGCTTTTTTATGGCGGAATAGTATTCCATCATGTATATATATCACATACTAATTACCCTGATTTGATCAATACACAATGTATAGGTGTGTTGGAACATCATGCTGTACCCCATAAATATGTACAATTATTACGTGTCAATTTAAAAAACCCAAGAAAAGTATTTTTTCTTAGTGTTGTTTTTTTCTAAAGTGTATCCCATTTTTTCCTTTGTTTTCACTTTCAAAATTCTTGAAAGACTGTTTTAATCTGCGGCCTTTGTTTTCTTGTTTCCAATTCATTCTTTTGAAATATGGCTTCTACCTTTAACACTCTGCTGTCCTCTTGAAGGTTATTGGTGCCCTACTAACCATAAAACACAATAATGCTCTCTTAGATTGTATCCTGGTGAGCCTTTTTGCAAAATTTTATTCTTTGAGAATTCTCTTTCCATGTTTTCTTTTCTTTTTTTGTGGTCATTTTGGCTTATAGGAAATCGTACTCTCCAAATGTTCTCTATGTCTTCTATTTCTTCTCTGATAATCCCTTTACTAAATCTTCTTGAGGCATATGCTTCAGAATGCTTAATTTACATACTCTTAATTCCTTCTTAATTTACACACTGCCTGTCGGCAATGTCAACACCCAATAAGAAGGGAGACCTATTGGTCAGAACAGGCCAGGGAATAGAAGAATACATAATAAACAGTCTGCCTAGTTCTTCTAGGGCCCCATAATATGTCAAACATATATTTTTACTTCTTCTCCCAGCCCATTTTTAGTATACCTAAATTACTGTCAGTGATTCTGCAGGCAAACAATGGTTGAGTTGTATGACACAACTTTGTGAAAGTATCCTACCCAGTACCTGATGATGCAAAACTCTTCTATCTTGATTGGTTGTCAATCTGAGGAGTTTCCAATCCTGGGGAAGCCAGAAAAACAGCGATTTATACTCTTAATGGGTACTTTCTGACTGAATTTTATGAGCTCATTCTGAAGAGGCTGACGATTTTACTATCTCATTTTTTTCCTTTCTCCAGAATGGGTTCTGGGTGGGTCCCCTGGGTGGTGGCTCTGCTAGTGAATCTGACCCGACTGGATTCCTCCATGACTCAAGGCACAGACTCTCCAGGTAAGAACAGAGCAATTGTTTTTTTCCAGTGTGTATGCAAGAATTGGCATGGGGGAGTGATGCCTTTCTTTGTAAGTCCAGGCCACAGACCAGACTGGAAGTGGCTTTTGGTTTCAAAGAACAGTGTTCTTCCCTTTGGCAGAAAGGTACGCCTTGCCTCTTTACATGGGATGGACTTCATATACCAGAGCCACCTATTCAAGGGGTAGGGAGGCAGGAAGAGGGAAACATTGTGTCTTGTTTAGGATCCTTATTGTGTGTATCAACCTCAGTCAGTGCCTGGGCGTGTTGAAGGCCTTGGCTTGGGTTCGAGCCTGCTGGGAGAAACAACCTGCAGTAGGCTGGGTCACAGAGGCAATCTGTGATTTTTTGGTCAGGACACGGAAACAAATCTCAGTTGGGGTATATGTGGACAAATGAAACTGGAAACAAAGGTTGCTCCTTCTGTCATTTATTAAGCCACTATTATATTGTCAGAATTGTACTAAACAGTTTTGAGAAGTAAGAGAAGTTGAATAGAATACATTGTCCTTGTCCTCCGGCTACCAGGTACAAGTTACTTGTCACTGTTATTTTTCTAGCACAGGTGACAGAATATGCAGCCATGAAGCAATGTGAGATGAAAGCACATATTAATGAGCAGAAACAGGATGTAATGTGCTAAGAACAGAATCCCCTTTGCATGTTAGTTTCATTAAATACAAAAGAGGAACAAACCTGGCCAGGAGAGATCATTATTCTCAGAGAATAGAAACCGCCCTGAGTTTATAATGTCCATTAAACAATACAACTGAAAAAAAAATCAGCACAGATGTTAAATGATGATGAAAAATTCAGATTTCCCCCCTGGTTTAGACTACTAGAGGAAATAGAGAAGAGTATACATGCTGAGAAATTACAGGCTGGAACTTCATCTGAAATTAGCTACTGAGTGAGGGATAAGTGGGGTTCACCCAGGAAGGTCATTCTTATGGCTCAGTTCAGAGTTGGAGGAGGCTTCTGAACTTAGAAAGGAAAGTAAATTACAACCCAACATTAATAGCAATTATCTTTCAAGTCTTGACTTAGATGCAATGTCTTCAGGACGTCCTTCCTGACTTACCTACATTATTAACTCCATTTGAATTTCCTTTTTATTGTAGTTGTTGTTCTTAAGTGCATAGGATTGGTTTAATTTTACCCAATGAGTTCACAGCACATTGTAATTATTGGCAGTAGTGCAAGACTCTCTCGTCTCTTCTCTTGCCTCCGTTCTCATTCTCTCCCCTCCCTAGAGAATCCATTCTAAACGTGTCTGGTAAGTCTCTAAGTATGAGAGTGGCTTTTAGAAATATGTAGCATTATTGCTCTTTATGTGTTTTTAAAATTTAATAAATGTCATTCTCTGTTGAATCCCATTCTGTTTCTTTTCTCACTTGACACTGTGCTTTTTGAGCATACTGAGGTCAAAGGCCTCCTCTTAGATCCATGTGGTCTGACGTAATTTACCAGGCATGGGTTTTCCCAGAGGAGGGGGCTGGTTCATGGTTTTGGTTTTGGTTTTCCAGAAGATTTTGTGATTCAGGCAAAGGCTGACTGTTACTTCACCAACGGGACAGAAAAGGTGCAGTTTGTGGTCAGATTCATCTTTAACTTGGAGGAGTATGTACGTTTCGACAGTGATGTGGGGATGTTTGTGGCATTGACCAAGCTGGGGCAGCCAGATGCTGAGCAGTGGAACAGCCGGCTGGATCTCTTGGAGAGGAGCAGACAGGCCGTGGATGGGGTCTGTAGACACAACTACAGGCTGGGCGCACCCTTCACTGTGGGGAGAAAAGGTGAGCTGGAAGCTGAGGTCTGGCGTGGCTCAGGAATGTCCCCCATGTGAACCTGGCCATGGCTCTTCTTTCTTACAAGCAATTTTCTGCTTTAGGATAAATGGTTGTCTGTGTAGATGTTCTGGCCCCAGCTGTGATATATTATCCTCACAAGTCAGCCACTGTGATCTTGGTCTCAGACCCCCAAGGTTCTCAGGGACTTCGAGGGCTATTGTGCCCTCAAAGAGAAGCAGTAATTGTGGGAGTACCTCAGAAAGTCTAAATCCTCCTGACAGGCATTGACATACCCTGTTACTGATCTTGGGGGCTGAGACTTGCCTATACTTTGTGTTCACTTGGGTGATCTGGGAAAGAGATTAGACATAGTGATAGTCCCTAAAGAATCTCCTGTCCCAGCTTGGTGGTTTTCTTTCACGGTGTCTCATTTTTCCTCCCTTCCTAGTGCAACCAGAGGTGACAGTGTACCCAGAGAGGACCCCACTCCTGCACCAGCATAATCTGCTGCACTGCTCTGTGACAGGCTTCTATCCAGGGGATATCAAGATCAAGTGGTTCCTGAATGGGCAGGAGGAGAGAGCTGGGGTCATGTCCACTGGCCCTATCAGGAATGGAGACTGGACCTTTCAGACTGTGGTGATGCTAGAAATGACTCCTGAACTTGGACATGTCTACACCTGCCTTGTCGATCACTCCAGCCTGCTGAGCCCTGTTTCTGTGGAGTGGAGTGAGAATTAGTTTCTAGTACTCTCTGGGCCTGACTCAGGACTATACTGACTCAATACAGAGCCTGTGTCACTTCTGCGTTTATCTTGGTCACAACATGAATTATTCTTTCCCTTGATCTGGGACAGTCACAGAAACCAGAGTCCTTGGGTTAGGGTGGGAGAAAACATGGCAGATATCTATCCTCATATCTTCCAAGAAATGAGGAGATCTAATCACCTCATTATGTGCTTCCAACCCTATGAACTGGTGTCCTCTAATTCTTTGGTCTTAGTATTTAGGAGGCATTCTTATGGGCTGTGAGAATCTGTAACCGATGGGGGGTAACTCCATGGGTGCCAACTTTGGTTTCGAAGAACCTTTTCTAAATTTATTTATTTTTCTCTAGCTAGCATTGGATTTGGTGTCTAGTACAGATTCTGGGATTCCAAGAAAGTGCTTTAAATATTGGGATATTTTTACTAATTTAAAGACCTGTTTCCCATAGGAGCTCAGTCTGAATATTCTTGGAGAAAGATGCTGAGTGGCATTGCAGCCTTCCTACTTGGGCTAATCTTCCTTCTGGTGGGAATCGTCATCCAGCTAAGGGCTCAGAAAGGTAATGAGCCTGTGAGGAGTGCCCTGCCACCTGTCCCAGACCTTCCCCACTCCCACCTTCCCTAACGTCAATGATCTGAGGCAAGGAAAGCTGATTGTGCCTCTCAGGGATCACCGGGATAATTTTTTTCTGAAGCTAGAAATGGGATAAGCAGAGAGAGTGCTGACCTTGCCAGCCATTTGTTCTTCCCTCGGGATAATCATATTGGGTCCTAATTGGGGCAATCCATTCTTTTCTCGATTTCTTTCCAGGATATGTGAGGACGCAGATGTCTGGTAATGAGGTAATGTCTCTTTTTCCTTGTCTTTGAGTGGCAGATCATTCTCCCGGTTCTTTGGCCAGAGGGAGATGACATGGGGGTAGGGAGGAGTAAGGTTGCTGCTGTCTGGATGGGACTGTCCCCTGAGTCTCTGGAACGGCTGTGGGGGGTGGTGAGGCTGCCTCCTGAGACCTTCATCACTGTGCCTCCAGGTCTCAAGAGCTGTTCTGCTCCCTCAGTCATGCTAAGGTCCTCACTGAAGCTTCTCTCTCTGGAGCCTGAAATAGTGATGAGTAGTCTGGGCCCTGGGTGAGGTAAAGGACATTCATGAGGTCAATGTTCTGGGAATAACTCTCTTCCCTGATCCTTGGAGGAGCCCGAACTGATTCTGGAGCTCTGTGTTCTGAGATCATGCATCTCCCACCCATCTGCCCTTCTCCCTTCTACGTGTACATCATTAATCCCCATTGCCAAGGGCATTGTCCAGAAACTCCCCTGAGACCTTACTCCTTCCAGCCCCAAATCATTTACTTTTCTGTGGTCCAGCCCTACTCCTATAAGTCATGATCTCCAAAGCTTTCTGTCTTCCAACTGCAGTCTCCACAGTCTTCAGAAGACAAATGCTCAGGTAGTCACTGTTTCCTTTTCACTGTTTTTAAAAACCTTTTATTGTCAAATAAAATGGAGATACAAAAAATGTACATTTTAGTGAATTATTTAAGAAAAACCCCTGTAATCAAGTCAAGGAACAGGACTTTGCCAGCTCCAGCGGAAGTCTCTGTACGTCAGGCCAATCAAAGCCTCTCCTTCCCCTCGAAAGTGACCATATCCTGATTTTATTGTAACCTCTTTCATGTCTTTGTAGTCTAGTCCCCCAGGTATGTGTTCCTGGACGCCACAGCTTAGTTGTCTTTTACGTCTCTCATACTTCACTGGTTTCTCCCCCATCAGCCTTTTTTTCCCCCTTATGATTAATCTGTTGAAAAGCTCAATCCATTTGACCTGTAGAGTTTCCCACACTCTGGATTTTGCTGGCTGCGTACACATGGTGCAGTGTAACACATCCTCTGCCTTCTGTGCCTCCCGCAAATTGGCATCTGGATGCAGAGGCTGGATCAGACTCTGGTTCAATCTTTTCCTTTGGAAAATCTATACGTGGTGTTGTGGCCTTTCACCATGAGAGACATAATTTCCAGCTGTTTCTTTTTGTGATGTTAGCAACCATTGATACTAATTGCTTAGGTCTGTTAATTTATTGGGGATTGCTAAATGGTGGTATTCTGTCATTTTTTCTTCATTTATATGCTTTATTAATGCTACAAAGAGACAGTTCCCTTCATTTACTAGTGAAGAGACACTTCCCTCCACTTACTAGTGGGCTACTTAGTGGTACAGTGGAAAGGCAGGATCAGTGTTTGACTCTCCTTTTATTTACCAGTTTTCAAGTTAGCAAATTGGTTTCCTACTATTAATAAAACCTACAGATGGCCAATCAGGTTTTACTTTTCATTCTTTAAATAATTATAAACAGAAGGATTTAAATGTTTGATAGGTTTTACTCTATTGCAATTTTTATGCTTGTTAAAGCTTATATCCTACATTTTTGGTGAGTGAAAACTTCTTCAAGTGGCTAAAAATGAAACTGAGTTCTTTTGACGCAAATTTCTTTTGATAATTTCTTTGTTATCTGGGATGACAACATGTTTCTGGTTCATCTTGTTCATTTCTTGGCCAGACCTGGAGGTAGCCATTTTTCCAGAAATCCCTGGTTTAGTTTAGTGGGAAATGACATTTAAGACTATAATCCAGCGTTAGGGTGTTTTGTCCCACTGAACCCGCTGCTGGAGTCACCTCAAAAGTGGCGTCAAGGGAGTTACCACAAGGAAGTTCCTGAAACCATTCTGAGATGGTGTGGGTTAGGATTCAAAGAAAGAAGCACTAAATGCCAGGGTGATCAGTCTAAAACATTTGTTTAGGGAATTTACCTACAGAGGGCTTCAGGAGTCCTTGCAGACAGCAAGAGAAAAGGGATGTTCTGCCTAGGTATGTCTGCAGCGAGGGGGTCAGGGTATGGAGCTTATATGAAGGTTTAAGGAACCTGGCTCAGGGCTGGGACAAAGTTTCAGTGTTTAGAGAAACAACCTAGATACGTTTATCAGTGCCTGGGAGTGTTCAAGGCCTTGGCTTGGGTTCGAGCCTGCTGGGAAAAACCTGCAGCTGGCTGGGTCACAGAGGCATTCTGTGATTTTTCGGTCAGGACATGGAAAGAAAGCAGGGAGAGGGGCAGTGGGGGAGCCTAAATAGATAGGAATGGTCATTGTGTCCAGCCTGTTCAATGGCAATAAAACATTTATACATGTATACATTTAAAAAAATCAGTCATCCAGGCACGGTGGCTCACGCCTGTAATCCCAGCACTTTGAGAGGCCGAGGCGGGCGAATCACGAGGTCAAGAGATTGAGACCATCCTGGGCAACACGGTGAAACCCCGTCTCTACTAAAAATACAAAAATTAGCTGGGTGTGGTGGCACGCGCCTGTAGTCCCAGCTACTCGGGAGGCTGAGGCAAGAGAAGCGCTTGAACCTGGGAGGTGGAGGTTACAGTGAGCCAAGATTGTACCACTGCACTGCGGCCTGGTGACAGAGCAATACTCCATCTTAAAAAAAAATCAGTCTTCTCTATATTACTTCTGCATCTCCTTTCTTTTATACCAAGAACTCTGGTTTTCAAGGACACAGGGACAGACACAATTAGAATGTCCATACTTATTTGCTTTTCCTGAGTTAACATAGACAGCAGTCTAAGGATAATAACACTCATACACAACCACCAAAATGGCTACTGAAAACGGTTGAAATTCTTTTTACCTACATTCTCCCTATTACCTGTGTTCTCCCTTTTTACCTATGTTCTCCCCCGCTTTCTAGTTGAACTATGTCTATATTAGTTGATCCTGTACCATTGCATAGACTACTTGCTCCCTTGTTAGTCTTAGTTCTGTGAGTAGAGATATGTTTAATGCTCACCATCATTCCTTATGTTGATATCCCTGTCATGTGGTGGTTTTCAAGGTGTGGTCCATGGATTCCTGGGGGTCCCTGGGACCCTTCAAGGGGCCTATGAAGTCAAGCTATTTTTGTACTAATACTAAGATGTTATTTGCCTTTTTCACTGTATTATTTACATATTGGTACAGAAATCTATGGTGGTCACGTGAAACTGTTAGTGCCTGAGCACAAATCAAGGTGGTGACACCAAGCTGTACAGGTAGGTCATGTTCTTCACTGCCATAAGCTTACAGTAAAAAAAAAAAAAAAAAAAAAAAGCAAAAGCCAGTGACCTTGATGAAGCAATAAAATCATTAGTTTACTAAATTTTAAACCTCAAGCACACATCTGTTTAATAGTCAGTGTAAGAACATAGGCAGCATTTCTGGTGCATACTGATGGAAAGGCAGTTGTCCTGTGGAAAAGCCATTATGTAATTGCATGAGTTGTGAGTGAAGTTAAACATTTTTTTTTTAGTGGGTCATCATTTTCCTTGAAAGAATGACTGAAAGGCACACTGTGATTATTCAGACTTGGGTATTTGGTAGAAATTTTCTCAAAAATAAACAAAATGAGCCTATCCCATCAAAGAAAATAATATTGACAGTGGAAATTGGAATTTCAAGAGAAAATTAAAATTTTGGAAAACTTACGTGTGCCACAGCTTCTCACTACTTAAAGATGTTTCTGATGAGATTGGTGGTGATATTAACAAATATGGCTTAAAAAATATTGTTTAATAAAATATGTCAACATTTTAAAAATCTGCGTAAACCCATGAATCAATAATTTACAAATAATCAATGCATGATATTGCAAAGTCATGCATAAAGATCCATTTAAAGATAGACTAGTGAATTTTAACACAACAGAATATGAAAAGTTAATATATAAGGTTTCAGATTCCACACTGCAACTAACCTTTAAGAATCTGCCATTTCTTGAGTTTTGGTGTCTTATCAAGGAAGAACAGTTACGATAGCTGAAATGGTTATGGAAACTTTCCTTCTTTTCCCAACTGTGTATAAGAGTGAGGCCAGATTTTCCTCTTGTGCTTTAGCCAAAACAACATATTGTTACAGCTTGAATGTAGAAGAATATATAACCAAGCTAGCTTTATTAAGCCAGACATTAAAGAGATTTTTACAAATGTAAAATAATTCCTTTTTTTTCACTATTTTTTTGTGCTGGAGAAGACGGCTATTTTCCATAAAAGTGTGTTGTTTATGTTAACATGTAATGGGTTTGTTATTGTTATTTAATAACAAATAAATTAATATAAATGTCACTTTACATAACCCATGTAAACTAAAGCTTCTTGGTGTTCTCAACAATTTTATGAATAAAAAGGGATCCTGATATCAAAAGAATTATAAGCTACTGATGTAGTCATCATGATTGTTTGAAACTATTTCTCCTAGGTGCCTCAGGAAGACTTAGGAAAGTGTCTTAGTTTGTATGAGCTGCTATAACCAACTACCAGAGACTGGATGGCTTAAAAACAGCAGAAATGTATTTTTCACAGTTCTGGAGGCTGGAGGTCTGAGATCAGTGTGTCAGCCTGGTAGGGTTCTGGTGAAGGCCTGCTGGCAGCATCTTCTCACTAAGACCTCATGTGGCAGAAGGAAAGGGAGCTATCTGGAATCTCCCTTATAAGGGCCCTAATGCCATTCATAAGGGCTGCACCCTCATGACCTAATCACCTTCCAAAGGCGTCACCTCCTGGTACTGTCACCTTGGGCGTTACGATTTCATCATATGAATTTTGGGACGGCATATACAGTCCACACCAGGAAGTTCTTGCACTTCATAGTCGAAAGTCAGTTTTGTGGCTATAAAAATCTTGGTTCCATTTTCCGCTCTTGAGTATCTTAAAAAGTTACTACATTTTCACATAACTGCTATCAAAAAGTCTGATGATAATCTAATTATTAATAAGTCATTGCTACTTTTGCTGAGTATCCAGATGGTATTTTCTTTTTCTTTAGTATCCACAAGTTTTATTGGAATGTATCTTGGTTGGGGGGAGGGCAAGATCGCTGACTAGATGCAGCCAGGTGAAACAGTTCTCAATGAGGAACCCAGATGACTGGCGTGCTCCTAACAGATGTTCAGACAGAAGGCACCTAGAGTGGACAGAGGGAAGACACAGAAGCTGGACTGAAGTGGGAGAAAGCTGGGAGCCCTACATGGGGCTACAGCACATCCAGACTCATTCCTGTCCTCCAATGGCTCCAGGAAAATGGGTGAGTTGAACTGGCAAGGAACAACCCACTGTCACTATGACCTCTGCAACCATGGCAGGAGGAGACCCATTGACCACCATGGACACTTGAGTTGGCAGGAAGAGCTGCTTAGAGAAGCCGTAGGGGTGGCAAGCCAGCGGGTGTGGAGCCTAGAGGATTCAGTGCAGGAGCATCTGCAGTGGAGCATGGCCAGGGATGGCCATTTCCCTAGGCTCAACTTACTCCCATAGGAGACATTAGCCCTAGGGAAACTGTTGGTCCTGAAATCTGTAGGGTGGTCTTGCCCATCAGATGAGTCTGGTTCTACCTGAGCAACCGTTGGTCTTCTGGCCTCTCCTGGGGCCCTGGCCTGGCCACATCTGCTTGCAAAGCAGCCTCAGGTGCTCTGTGGGCCTGCACCATAGCTTCTACACTGGCAGACCATGACTGACCAGTAAGTGGAGAGCTCCAACGAGGAGGCCCCTATGACCAGGCACCAGCCTGCATGCTCCCTCCCCACACTGCAGCTTCCTCTGGGCCCACAGCAACTCCCCACATCATTTTGCTGGTACATGTCTGCTGGGTGGGTTTTGTTTTCCTTGCCTCACCAGCATATAGGAGTGTAATTCACCCCCCACCAATTCCCTCCTGACAGCCATTGCAGACAGAGCCTTGGTGGGCACAGAGCCAGCCAGCCCCACTCCCTCCATCATCCCACCCTGTGCTAACACTGTGCAGAGAACAGCTGATCCTCCCCCACCCTGAGTGACCACTCCTGCACAGAAAAGGCACGCAGACCTGCACCTGCCAATGCCTTGCCCCTAAGCCAACACCACTTCCTGTGTGACCACACACACAGTTGCCAGCAGGGGACCCCCTTCCTTTCCTGCAGTTGCATTGCCTCTGCCACTGTGGTGGATGCCTGCAGGGAGGTGGGCACCCCGGCACCTGCTAGTACTCTGCTGCAGCTTCAACTACCACTGCTGCTGGTACACTCAAACAAGGACAGATCCTCCTGTCACTGTACTATGAAACACTTTGGCTGACACCACTCATTGGAGTGTAGTGACCAGTGGTCTGGGAGCACTTCGGACTGCACCACTCCTGCCACCTCCCCCACCCCCCGCCCATCACAGCGGATTCCTAATTCTGAGGAAACAGAGAACAAAGTCAGGGCCCCGTACAAGTCCCAAAGAATTACAGCATGCAGTCCAGGAGTTGGGAGTGGAATACTGGCCAAATAAAATTGTCCAGAAATGAAGTCAGTTGGCTGAATCCACCTTATACCACAATCAAACCCTCAAAGTCATCAAATAGGATAAATAGGATAAATAAAAAAGGTTGGATGATCTTTGCTGTCCAAAGGTCAGCAGTCTCAAAGATTAAAGGAAAATAAGCCCACAAAGATGAGAAAGAATCAGGCAAGAACCTTGACAACTCAAAAAGCCAGAGTGTCTTCTGTTCTCCAAACGACCACATCACCTCTCGAGCAAGGATTCTGAACTGGGCTGAGATGGCTGAAATGACAGATATGTAATTCAGAATAAGGATAAAAATGAAGATCATTGAGCTACAGAAGTACATTGAAACCCAATCCAAGGTAGCTAAAAATTATGATAAAACAATGCAGGAGCTGATAGATAAAATAGCCAGTATAGATAAGGACATAACCAATTTGATAGAGCTGAAAAACACACTATAAGAATTTCATAATGCAATCACAACTATTAATAGCAGAACTGACCCAGTGGAAAAAAGAATCTCCACACTTCAAGACTGGCTTTCTGAAATAAGATAGTCAGACAAGAATAGAGAAAAAAGAATGAAAAGGAAGGAACAAAACTTCTGAAAAATATGAGATTATGTAAACAGACCAAATCTATGACTCATTGGTGTTCCTGAGAGAGATGGGGAGAATGAAACCAACTTGGAAAACATATTTCAGGGTATCATCCATGAGAATCTCCCCAACCTAGCTGGAGAGGCCAACATTAAAATACAGGAAATGCAGAGAACCCCAGTAAGATACTTCACAAGAAGATCATTCCAAAGGCACATAATTATCAGATTCTCCAAGGTTGAAATGAAAGAAAAACAGTTGGCAGCTAGAGAGAAAGGCCAGGTCACCTACAATGAAAAGTCCATCAGACTAACAGTGGACCTGTCAGAAGAATCTCTACAAGCCAGAAGAGACTGGGGCCAACATTTATTATTCTTAAAGAAAATAATTTCAACCCAGAATTTCATATCTGGCCAAACTAATCTTCAAAAGTGAAGGAGAAATAAGAACCTTTTCAGAGAAGGAAATGCTGAGGGAATTTCATTACCACTAGACTTGTCTTACAAGAGCTCCTGAAGGAAGCACTAAATATGGAAAGGAAAGACTTACTAGCCACTACAAAAACACACTGAAGTACACAGACCAGTGACACTATAAAGCAACCACATAAACAAGTCTGCAAAATAACCAGATAACATCATGATGACAGGATGAAATCCACACATATCAATACTAATCTTAAATGTAAATGGGCTAGTGCCCCAATTAAAAGGCACAGAGTGGTAATCTGGATAAAGAACCAAGGCCTATTAGTATGCTGTCTTCAAAAGACTCATGTGTGTCATGCAGTGACACACATAGGATCAAAATAAACAGATGGAGAAAAATCTACCAAGCAAATGGAAAACAGAAAAAAGCAGGGGTTGCAATACTAGTTTCAGACAAAACAGACTTTAAACCAACAAAGATCAAAAAAGATGAAGAAGGGCATTACATAATGGTAAATGGTTCAATTCGACAAAAGATCTAAGTATTCTAAAAATATATACCTCCAAAAGAGGAGCACCCAGATTCATAAAGCAAGTTCTTAACGACCTTCAAAGAGACTTAGACTCCCACACAATGATAGTGGGAGACTTTGACACCACATTGACAATGTTAGACAGATCATCAAGACAGAAAATTAACAAAGATACCCAGGACCTGAACTCAGCTCTGGATCAAATGAACCTGATAGACATCTTATAGAACTTTCCACCCCAAAAAGACAGAATATACATTTTTCTCATTGTCACATGGCACATACTCTAAAATCGATCACATAATTAGAAGTAAAACACTCCTCAGCAAATGCAAAAGAACTGATCATAAGAAAAAATCTCTTGGACCACAGCACAATCAAATTAGAAACCAAGACAAAAAAGTTCACTCAAAACCGTACAATTACATGGAAATTAAATAACCTGCTCCTGAATGACTTTTGGGAAAATAATGAAATTCAGGCAGAAATCAAGAAACTCTTTGACATGAGTGAGAACAAAGATACAACACATTAGAAGCTCTGGGACACAACTAAAGCAGTGTTAAGAAGGAAATTTATAGCACTAAATGCCAACATCAAAAACTTAGAAAGATCTCAATTTAACAACCTAACATAATAACTAAAAGAACTAGAGTATCACAGCCAACCAATCTCAAGGCTAGCAGAAGACAAGAAATAACCAAAATCCAGAACTGAATGGAAGGAGATTGAGACACAAAAATGATTCAAAAGATCAATGAATCCAGGAGCTGGTTTTATGAAATAATTAATAAAATAGATGGACTTCTAGCTAGACTAATAAAGAAGAAAAGAGAGAAGGATTCAAATAAACACAATTAGGAATGACAAAGGAGGTATTACCACTGACCCCACAGAAATACAGACAACCATCAGAGAATATTATGAATACTTCTATGACATAAAGTAGAAAATCTAGAAGAAATGGATAAATTCCTGGGCACATACACCCCCTAAGACTGAACTAGGAAGAAATTGAATCTATGAACAGACTAATAATGAGCTCTGAAATTGAGTCAGTAGTAAATAGCCTACCAAAACAAAACAAAACAAAACAAAACAAAACCCAGGACCAAATGGATTCACAGCTGAATTCTATCAGGTGTACAAAGAAGAAATGGTACCATTCCTGCTGAAACTATTTCAAAAAATTGAGGAGAAGAGACTCCTACCTAACTCATTCTATGAAGCTAGCATCATCTAAATACCAAAACCTGGCAGAGACACAACAAAAGAAGAAAGCTTCAGGCCAATATCCTTGATAAACATTGATGCAAAAAATCCTCAACAAAATACCAGCAAACCGAATCCAGCAGCACATCCAAAAGCCAATCTACCATGATCAAGTAGGCTTTATCCCTGGGATATGAGGTTTGTTCAACATATAAAAATCAGTAAATGTGATTCATCACATAAACAGAACTAAAGACAAAACCCACATGATTATCTCAATAGATGCAGAAAAGTCTTCTGATAAAATTCAACACTCCTTCATGTTAAAAACTCTTGATAAACTAGTTATTGAAGGAACATACGTCAAAATAGTAAGAGCCATCTATGACAAACCCGCAGCCAACATCATACTGAATGGGCAAAACCTGGAAGCATTCCCCTTGAAAACTGGCAGAAGACAAGAATGCCCCCTCTCATTACTCCTATTCAACATAGTACTGGAAGTCCTTGCCAGGGCAATCAGGCAAGAGAAAAGAATAAAGAGCAGCCAAATAGGAAAAGAGGAAGTCAAAGTATTCCTGTTTGCAGATGACATGATCATATATCTAGAAAACCCTATCGTCTCAGCCCAAAAACTTCTTAAGTTGATAAACAACTTCAGCAAGGTCTCAGGATACAAAATCAATGTGCAAAAATTACTAATATTTCTATACACCAACAACAGTCAAGCCTAGAGCAAAATCAGGAATGCAGTCCTATTCACAATTGCCACAAACAGAATAAAATACCTAGGAATACAGCTAACCAGGGAGGTGAAAGATCTCCACAAGAAGAACTAAAAAGCACTGCTCAATGAAATCAGAAATGACACAAACAAATGGAAAAACATTGCATGCTCATGGATAGGAAGAAACAATATCATCAAAATGGCCATACTGCCCAAAGCAATTTATAATTCAATGTTATTCCTATTAAACTACAATTGAGATGCTTCACAGAACTAGTAAAAACTATTTTAAAATGCATATGGAACCAAAAAGGATACATAGATACAAAATAAGGACATGAAAACATGTGCAATGTCATTAGCCATTAGAGAATTACAAATTAAAACCACAATAAGATATTACTATATACCTATCATGATGGCTAAAAATAAAAAGTAGGCACAATACCAAATCCTGGTGAGGATGCAGAGAAAATAGATCACTCACATTTGGCTGCTGGGAATGTAATATAGTACAGCCACACTGGAAAATAGTTTGGCATTTTCTTTAAAAGCAAAACATGCAACCACCATACAACCCAGCAATTGCACTCCTGAGCATTTATCCCAGAGAAATGAAGACTTATGTTCAGAGAAAAATCTGCACATGTATGCTCATAGCAGCTTTATTCAGACAAAAACTGGAAACAAACTGTGGTATATCCATACTAGGAAATACTACTTAGCAATAAAAACGAACAAACTGGATACAGGCACCACGACCTGGATGAATCACCAGGGAATTATGCTGAGTGAAAAAAAAAATTGCAAAATGTTGTCTACTAAATGATTCCACTTACATAACACTCCTGGAATGCCAAAACTATAGAGATGGAAATTAATAATTGCTGTGTTAATGAAGAAGTGGAAATGGGAGGGAAGTGGCTGTGGCTACAAAAGGGCAAAATGAGGGATATTATAGTGATGAAAGTGTTCTTTATTTTAATTATATCAATGTCAATATCCAGACTGTGATAATTTACTGTAGTTTACAAGATGTTATCCTTGGGGGAAACTGGGTAAAATGTACATGAGATATCTCTGTAACATTTCTTAAAAGTGTCTGTGAATCAACAATTATATCAAAATAAAAAGTATAATTTAATACAGCATCTTAACATTTTCAACAAAACTAAGTGTCAAAGTATCCCCATAAACCTCAAATACAAATTGGTGAGGACAAACCACTAGTAGTTGCACGTTATTAATTTTTCCTGTTATGGATTATGCCTTTGGTGTCAAGTCTAAAAGCTTTTTGCTTAATCCTAGATCCTGAAGATTTTCTCCTGAGAGTTTTGTGACTTTATGTTTTACATATTAGACTTTGATCCATTTTTATTTCTTCCTTTGAAATCTGCACGCCTTTTTTTTTTTCTCGCCCATTACATTATCTAGAACTTCCAACGCCATGTTGAATAAGCATGGCGAGAGTGGACATCATTGCTTTGTTCCCGATCTTTGGGGGAAAAATTTCAGTCTTTCACCGCTGTGTTAGCTGTAAGATTTTTTGCAGATGCTCTTTATCAAATTGAGGCAGTTCCTCTCTATTTGCATTTTCTGAGCATTTTATCATGAATGGCCATTGAATTACGTATTCTAATACCTCATATATGTACATCATTAACTTGGATTACGCTTCTTTAAATAGCTGCCTGTTCTACTGGTTGTCAAATGAGCTGTATCCTTTCTATTTAATGCCTACATGAAGTTTTTAAATATGGACTCTATGTCATATATTTAGTCCCTTTCAGGTTTCCAACATAAAGTGATACTATTTCAGCTACTTAAGCACTTATTTAGGATTTATGCCTCATGTAGTTTAGATTTATTATGAGTTTGCACTTACATTTGATTCCTTTTTATACTCCTAATGTCTTTTTTTCTTAAACAAGTGGCCTATATATTTGGACTCACAATATTTATACATCCTCTGTCACCAGGGGTACATGTCCTTATACCTTAAAGCACGTGCTTCTGGAGTCCTGTCGTGTTACATGTTTCCTCTAAAACAAACCCTCCATGTTATTTGAGAGCCAACCCCACTTTTCAAGTTATTTAGGCTGCTGTAACCTCCATTAATAAAGGATTCAAAAGTCATAATTGTGTGATTCTTTAGGAATTATCCAAAAAGGCAATCTGATTTATTTTCCAAATATCCTGGATCTGAAATAATCTATCAGAGTTTATTTCTATGCTTGGAAAGCTTCCTTGGATGTCAGCATTTGCGATTTTCTTACTTAGCTTATGTAGCTAAGTAAGAAATGAATTGCTTTTGTTGGTTTCTTAGTACATTCTGTCCATCAAGTACATTGAGTTGTTTAGAATTGTTTTGAGTCAACAGTGTAACAAGCATCCAAAATCTTGTATAGTCAATTTTGTTTGACTATTGTGCTAGAAGATCAATTTCTATTTCCTCTGTTGACAATATCCTGAGCATTTTGAAGTTACACAATTGCAGTGGTAATTTAGCGGAAGAGTGTTAACATTTTAACCTAAATAATTGATTTTGTATTAAACAAATTCTGATGTAGGAATGTATTTAGTATTAACTATATGGAATTCTCTATAAATCTCATAAACAGAGTAGTTGCTTTTTTGAAGGGGATTAAAAATTAAATATCAACATTTTCATTTTAGAAAATAAAAAATGTGGCTCACGCCTATAATCCCAGCACTTTGGGAGGCTGAGGTGAGCAGATCACGAGGTCAGGAGATCGAGACCATCCTGGCTAACACAGTGAAACCCTGTCTCTACTAAAAAATATGAAAAATTAGCTGGGCATGGTGGTAGGTGCCTGTAGTCCCAGCTACACGGGAGGCTGAGGCAGGAGAATGGTGTGAACCCAGGAGGTGGAGCCTGCAGTGAGCCAAGATCATGTCACTGCACTCCAGCCTGGGTGACAGAGCAAGACTCTGCCTAAAAAAAAAAAAAAAAGAAAAGAAAAAGAAAAGAAAAAATGTCTTTTTTCTTTTTAAAATTTTCCTATTTTAATATTTAAAATTATTTTATCTTTTTTTTAAAAAAGTTATACATGACATGGTTTAAAACATCAAATACAGATGGTTCCTGACTTACGATGGTTCCACTTAAGATTGTTCAGCTGTGATGGCGTGAAAGCAGTACACATTCTGGAAGAAATGTACTTCAAATTTGAAATGTCAGTCTTTCTCTGGGCTAGTGATATGTGGTATAACACTCTCACCTGACGCTGAGCAGCAGTAGTGAGCCACAGCTCCCAGTCAGCCACGCTAATGTAAGTGTTCTGAGCATGTTGAGGGTAGGCTGGGCTAAACTATGATGTTTGATAGGTTAGGGGTATTGAATGCATTTTCAACTTGCAGTTTATCAGGACACAAACCCACCTGAAGTCAAGGAGCATCTGTATTTCTACAGGGCTTGTTATGCAAAACAGCTGACCACACTGCCTCCCCATTCCTCTTTCCAGACAGAAATTCTAGTAGATAGTCCCATTTTACAAATGAGAAAGTGGAGGCTTAGGGAGGTTAATTAAGACACGCAAGTTCATATGGGTAGGAAGCGATGGAGCTATGATAAGAACTCAAATCCATATGGTCCCCAAGCCTGAGGTTTGAGCTATATTGCTTCGTGATTACAGGATATATTAGTTTCCTATTGGTGCTGTAACAAATTACCACAATTTAGTGTTTTAAAACAACAAAAATTTATTGTTGGACAGTTCTGGAAATTATAAGCCTAAAATGGGTCCTGTTAAATTAAATTAAATTTGGCTTAAAGCGGCCTCTGTACTTTGAATTCCTACGTAGTATACTGAAATCTAACTTAATGTGTAAGAAAATTGTACCCTAACTTAAGAGCATATTCTTGTAATAAATAGCTGAGTCTCAGGCAAACACAGCAGCCAAGCTTCAGGCAATCACAGGTTGCCAACTGATCAGACCATGATCAAATAAGGCAAATACTGAGCTGTAAACAAGCTGCTTCTGTATACCACTTCCTTTTTCTCTCTATAAATATTGCCTGCCCCTATTGCTCAGTGGAGCTCTCTGTACCTCTTCTGGTCCTGGATGCTGCCCAATTCATGAATTGTGCTTTGCTCAAATAAATCAAAATAAATTTCATTTGTTCAAAGTTTTTCTTTTAACACTTGTACAGGGCTAATCAAGGTGTTAGCTTGTCTGTGTTCCCCTTCTGAAGGCTTTAGCGGATAATCTGTTTTTTGCCTCTTCCAGCTTGCAGCGACCAGCTGCATTCCTCGGCTTGTAGCCCCCTTCCAGCAATCACTTTCCTCTGATTTTTGCTTCTAATATCACATCTCCTTCTTCTATTCTCTTGCCTCTTTCTTTCACTTAGAAGGACCCATGTAATTATATCAGGACCACTTGGCTAATCCAGAATAATCTCCCCATCTCAAGATCCTTAATCTAATCACTAATGCAAAGTCCCTTTTGCCATGTAAGGTAACAGATTCACAGGTTTCATAGATTCAGATCTTTCAGGGGTGGCAGTTGGGGGCATTATTCCATCTACCACACAGAGTAAAGTTTCATCTGGATGACCCACAGGCCCTACAAATACAAAATGTCTAATATGGAATGTTCTCTTAAACTGTCCTTTCTTGATGACTGGAATTACTAACCACTTGGTCTCCCAAGCATCTTCTGCTCTCGCCTTCTCCTCTCTCCCATATACAATGGATGACGACACATCATGTTGCATCTGCTCCCTCACATGTCTCTGACCCTCTCTCTAGATCCCTGATCCTACTTTAATTCGAGCCCCATCATGTCTGGTCTGTGTTACTCTAACAGTTACCCACGCTGCTTTCTCTGCTTTCAATTTTATGCTCCTCTAACCCACTCTTCCCATCAGAGTAGTCTTTCTAAAACGTGAAGCTGCCCATGACCCTTCCCTTACTATCAGTCTGCATACTGGTCCTACTGACTGCAGATCAAAGACCCAAGTCCTTAGCCTGGTGTGTGAGGCATCCATCCCTAGCCCTCTGCTTCATCTGTCACCCACCCATTTTACCAATTCCGAAAGACTTTCACTTCCCTCGAAGCCTGTCCAAGTGTCCAAGCCGCTCATGCTTTGTTAGACTTGGAAGCCATTCTCCATATACCCTCGATCAGCTTGAATGTCATTTCCACTAGAAAATTTTCCTAATTGTTTGTGACTTCAATGTCCTAATTTTACACACATTTCTGCTGTGCCCCTTTGTTTGCTAATATGTCTCCTGGGTGGTAAGCAGGACTCCGTGTCTTATTAATATTTTCCGTCTCCAGAATTCAGCCACTGTCTGCCACACAAGTGCATAATGAGTTACTATACTAATATTATGCAGCCATGTCCCCTGTACAGCAGTTCCCTGGATCTCATGGCTTCTTTTTTGATTTGCCTTGTTTGTTACCAACTTCCATCAGTAAGACAATCTATCCAATCCTTGTCCCCTTTGCCACATCACATCCTCAGGGCAATAACAAAGTTGTTAAGTTTATGCACCTTCTCCACTTGGAGCAAGGCCTCACCATGTCAGGCCTCCGCCTGATTCTCCTCCCTGCCTGGGATGGCAGATTTTGCTCTAGTGGGTCTCCAGGCCGTGAGGTCTCCTGTCTTTTATGTTCTGATCCGGGTGGTGAGCTGCAGCTCACTACAAGTCCTTACTTGTCTCTGCTGGCCTTTAGAGACTTTGTACTCAATTTGGAGGAACTACTCTTGATGGATTGTAAGTGAGAGGATTTCCTGGTCTCCCTCTGGAGTCCGCCAGAAAACCACATTCTCTGCTTTTCAGCGTTGACTGCTCATGCTTACGTAATTTCTAAGAGTAAGAGCCTATGGACTGTCCTGGCAGCAAAGAATTCGCTCAGGATTTTGCCTGAAGCTGCACTTCCGGGGTCTCGCTTCATCAGAAGACTTCTTCATTTTCATCATCGGCCCAGCGATGCATGGGTACCTCTTAGGGTTTAGCCCCAGAATGTACTGGGGGAGGGGAGGGTAAAGTAGGTGGGGAAGGAGTCAGAGTCGTAGGTCATCTGTGGCTGGAGTTTTGCATCCCTAATAAACGGGAAATGAACTGAAGGAAGACTGGGTTTTCACGTCAACACGAAGGACACCATTACGATGCTAGACTAATCATCAAATAAAATTCCAGATGGAAAAAATTCAGAAACTTAATTTGGAATTTGAGCCCCGCTCTATTATGCAACGTTCCCAGCCATTGCTCCGCGGATGTAATGTGGACTTCCACCGCCAGATGGCGATCGAGACCGTAATTTAAGTTGGTTTTCTCAACTTCCTCTGGACTGAGTCCCCGTGAAAATCCCAAGTTTAACGAGGGGCTTTCCTCGCGTAACCTTCGCTTCTGCTTCCTCTCTCACATCACCTCAACCTGCGAGACTCTGAAAGGGATAATGAGGGTTGGGGGGAATATGGAAATTCAGGGAAGGGAGAGGGGGGTGGTGTGAAGCTTTCCAGACCAGCCACACAGAAATAGCGTACCAATAGTGGTTTAGAGCACAGACCCCCAGCCAGAATGAGTAATTTAAACAGCCCTACGATGTAATCGTTGTGTGCATATGCATCTCTATGCCTCTCTCTCTCTCTGTCTTTCTTTCATCTGAGACAGGGTCTCACTCCCTCTGTCCCACAGGCTGGAGTGCAGTGGTGCAATAATGGCTCGCTGCAGTCTTGACCTCCTGGGCTCCAGTGGTCTTCCCACCTCAGCCTCTGAAACCACAGGGTCTTGAACTTCTGGGCTCAAGTGATCTTCCTGCCTCGGCCTCCTAAAGTGCTGGGGTTACAGGTGTCGGCCACCATGCCTGTCTGCTATTTAAGTGCATAGAAGAATGCCTGGCACTCAGTTAGTGTTAAATATTTATAAAATAAATTAAAATTTTATAACACTACACACATGTTGTTGAGTATGTCATAAATAGAGACATATTTAATGAGATGTCAACATATATCACGTTAATGAATTAAGTAAGTTTGAGAATATTAGAGAAGAATGATAATAGATTAACGGAGGAGGCTGGGCGCAGTGGCCCACACGTGTATTCCAGCACTTTGGGAAGCCGAGGCAGGCAGATCACATGAGGTCAGGAGTTCGAGACCAGCCTGGCCAACATGGTGAAACTCCTTCTCTACTAAAAATACAAAAAAAAAATTAGCCGGGTGTGGTGGTGTGCGACTGTAATCCCTGCTAATGGGGAGGCGGAGGTTGCAGTGAGAGGAGATCGCACCACTGCACTGCAGCCTGGGCGACAAAGCAAGACTCCATCTCAAAACAAACAAACAAACAAACAAACAAACAAAAAACAGACGAAATAGGGTTTGAGTATGTAGTCTGCTCTCAACATGAGATAGTAAAGTCTTTGCTTCCCTTATATTCTGTTAATTAACTCATTTGATGCACATCGATGTATAAAGCCTTTAACTTCTATTTATTCTTTTCCTTGAAAAGCATGCGGAATGCCTTCTCAGGACTCTCCCATTTTTTATTTGTGAACACCCACTGGCATTCCCGGATACGAAGCTTGCAAGAAGGTGTGAACCGCCCTATACTCGTGAGCCCCTGGGGCTCTGTACTCTTTCCAGCCCACATTTGACCTCAGTCAATTTTTAAATGATTCCAGCTAAATTCTTCTTACCAGTGCCCAGCTGTACCTGCCTTAGGTAAGCAAGCACTCAGGCAACAACTTTCCTAGACTTCAAGCTAGTTGGAAGCTCAATCCCAGCTCTGTGATGGGTTGAAAAAAATTGCGACCTTGCAATTTGTGTGATTTCTTTCATGTTGCAAGGAAGCATCATTGTTTCCAGTTCTCTGCATCCCCAAGCAGAAACCAGAACTCTATATAAACGTTTTTAAATGGAGACATTGAGAAAAAGTACCCGAGAAACCAATGAGATACAGGAAGAATGCTTCCAGCACTAACATGAATGGGGCTTGGCCATACAGATAGAAGGGTTGGAAACTCTTACGCCTTGATTTAAACTCTCTATGCATATTCTGAGCACGCTGGGGAATGTACTACTACTAGGCTTGATTTGGATTCATGGCTACTACCTCCCACAAAATGATAGGTCTTCTGTTTTAGTACGTGAGATAATTCCTCAATCGATCTTATTGCTGCTATTTCTGTTAAGCATAAACAATGATTTGGGTCACAAATTTCAATGGGGTTTAAATTCCTTTGTGCATCCCAACAGGTAATCCTCTTACTCTGGGCTATGAACTTGCTACTGCCAAGATGGATGCCATGAAAAAAAGAGATCTCATCAAAATGGTCACAGAGAGATGGAGGGCCTCTGTGTAGATGGCAGGGTGGTGGTGGCCGTGTAACTAGCTGCCCGGTGAGGAGCAGCCCTTGGGGAGAGCCCAGGTAGGACCAGGAGAAGCAGAAATAGAGAAAAGTGAAAGATCGAGGTGGAAAGAACATGAGGGACAAGAGCTCTGCATGGCCACATCACCAGCAGTCTTGTTATTACAATGAGGATGAAGGGACTGAAAAGAGGGGAAGAGATGGAATTCATCAAACAACAGTGCTCATTCATACAAGGTAAGTATACATGTGGCCTTTTCTCTCTCTATCTGAAGATGTGGCTTACTGTAACAGGAACTATCATGGGCATTGGACGGCTGTCTCATGGTGATCCCATCCTCCTCTACATCCTAAACTTTTTTTTGAACGCATTTCTGTATTTTGACTTCCTCTCTCCCCAAAGTTCTTGTTAACTTCTGAGTATGACTTAGCTTCCTTATTCTTTGAAATATTTGAAACCCCTAACTTCCTCTCCTCTGTGGTGTAACTCACATGGCTTCTTGATACCAGGAGGCACTGTCTGCATACAACCTCATATTATGAGGATGAAATGCCCATGAATCCTACCAATCTGAGGAACAACGCATTTGTCTTCTCTGACAAAATACGGGTGCCACATATTCTGTAGGAAAAGGTGGTGTTGAGGTCAGAACTTCTCTGTTTCTCTGTCTCTCTCTCTCTGGTTCTGGAAATGTTGAGAATATGAGTGAAGGGAAAAAGATGGGCACCACGTGGAGGCAATTTCATGGTGGCATGAAACAATTTTGGGGGCATGAATGCCATGGGCAGAACATCAGGGCCCCAAAAGGGAAATACACAGTACTTTCTTTGGACTTCAGTGCTCTCTTTTATAGTAATGGAAACCACAAGCGCAGAGGAAGGGGAGCTGATTCTATAAAAAGAAGTTTATTTCCTACTTTAAAAGATGATTTTTTGACTATCTTCCCACAATAGAGCCAGAGGATCACAGGGGAAAGCTACGATCCTCAATTATAGAAAATGATGTTGGGTGCATCTAGCATCACAGAAGCTTTAGAGGACACAGTCATCTCAGGTACCTACAGATAAGGAAGAAGTACCAATGAGAGTACCTACTCGTATTCTTATTCATGGAAGCGAATCCCTTCAGGAACCAAATCATTTAGCTGCTGGTAGATGTTTCTTTTGGCTCCTCTCTCTCCTGAGCTCTCAAACACAGACTTTTTTTTCTGTGTGCCTCTGCTTTTGGCAACTCTGTTCCAAGAATAAGAATATTTGTTTGTAGATGAGCTTGCTAGGTCGGGGATCTCTTGTATAGGGAGATGGTGAATCACTGAGCAGGACACAGAGGCATGAGTTGAAACAGTGAGATGTACCTTAGTTTAAAGAGAGGTCACAAGAGCTCATGGACCATTATTAGATAAACTCTAAATTAGAAAAAAGAACCATATTTCTCTTTTGATAGTCACATAAAAATTGAAGCCATACTCATTCTAATAAAAAGTAACATGCATAGCTCTTCATTGCAAAGCTCATCTATTATTCATAACAGGCATATAGGGTCTATATCATTTTTACAGAAGTGGAAATAGCATGTAATTACTAATTTAGTTTATTCATTAGTTTTCCAAAAGTGAAATAAAGAATTTTCCCTTTGACTTCCTACCTGGTAATTTGAAAGAGATAAATTTGTGACTAAAAAGAGTACTTCACATCATACACAAATAATTAATGCAACTGATTGACCCAAGCTAGTGTGTGTGATATTGTGATATAATAGGAAGTATATATTTGGTTTCTGACCCTGGTTCCTGCCCTTCAGCTCCTAAAACTCTTGGAATCTCCAGAGTGATAAGAGTGTCTTTTGCATGCTAATGAGGTGACTGGTGGCTGGGGCTGGTCACCAGAAAGACCAAGGCAGGATTAGAGGGTTGGGATTTTCAGCCCACTCACAATCTCTGGGGAGAAGGGAGGGGCTGAAGGTTGAGTTGACTGCCAATGGCCAATGGTTTAATCAACTCACCATGCTGACATAACAAAGCCTCCATTAAAACCCAAAAGGGCAGAGTTTGGAGAGTTTCCAGATAGCAGAACACGGAAAGATGCCTGGAGGATAGGCTCTTGAAGAAGGTGTGGAAGCTCCGCACTCTTTCCCCCATACTTTGTCCTATGTGTTTTGTTTTTCTTTATCAATCTGTTCGTCTGTATCCTTTGTCTTATCCTATGTAATAAACCAGTGTATGTAAGTAAGTGTTTCCCTGAGTTCTTTGGGCTGCTCTAGCAAATTAATTGAACCTGAGGAAAGGTTTGTGGGAACCTCCAATCTATAATTGGATGGTCAGAAGTACAGGTGATAGCAACTGGCATCTGAAGTGGGAAGGGGGCAGTTTTGCATGACTGATCCCTCAATCTGTGGGATCTGATGCTATTTTTAGGTAAATAGTATCAGAATTGAATTGATTTAGAGGAACCCGGTGTCTGCTGGAGAATTGCTTGGTGTGGGGGAAAAATCTCCACATACCTGATGTCAGAAGTAACTGTGTAAGACAGAAGGAAAAATGCTTTGGAGTTTTTTGTTTTTTCTCCCCATCTCTATTTATATAGGTTAAAAATGTGGCTGGGTGCATGCCCATGATCTGAGCACTTTGGAAGGCCCAGGCAGGAGGATAACTAGAGGTCAGGAGTTCAAGACCAGCCTAGGCAACACAGTGAGACCCCCCCCCCGCATCTCTAAAAAACAAACAGAGACAAATACATAAATAAATCAGTACAAGTACAAGCCTCATAATCCATTATGAAAGTGTCAGAGTGATGAATGCCATGGGCATAGTAACAGTTAATAAAGAAAATAATGTGTTGGAGGAATATTTAAGATAACTGAGGCTGCTACAAGCAAAACTACAGAATAATTTCATCATATACATTTTTTTTTGTTTCCAAATTAGATACAAGATTAAGCCTTGGGTCTCCCTGGCAGTGGAGGGCGATTCTGATATTCACATATAACTACCCACAGGGCATGGATTCTGAGAGATGCTGATAAAAGAAGTTGGTGTCTTCTTGGCATTTGTCCCCAAGGATCTTCCAATACCCAGAGAATCTGCATTTACACAGATCATGCTCCCTTGGGAGCTTCTCTTGACTGCCCCCCACACCCTCATTCGTGGCTTTTCCTCTTTGATCTCCCACTTCAGTCCTCACACCTGTCAACACTGTGCTTATTACCATGTGGAGTGGTTAGAAGATCTTCCCAGAGTCAAGACATTTCCAGGGTCACCCTTCTCTTAGGCATTTCTTGGCACGACTGTCCTGAATAAAGGAAAGGAGATGAAGGTGATGTTGAGAAGCATCTAGAGGGCTGGAGTCAGGGGGAACCGGCTGAGGCTGTTGGATCAAGTTTTAGCCACTGGTAAAAGACCTCCAAGCTGCGAATGCTATTGCCATCTGTGTAAAGTCGCCTCCGAGATTAGAATATGCCAAAGACTGAAGAAAGAGGTCTAGGTAGCATAAAGCCATCATGTAATTGAAGTTTCTTCCGTTTCCAAGGACAGGAAGCGTGCAAATGGCTCTGCGTTCTCAGTAGGGTTGGGGCTAAGAAGTGAGCCTGCAAATGGTAGTTTGGGTGAAGACTTGTGTGATGCATGCAGAGACTCAAATTTAGTGTCCTCTGAACACAAACACCCTCTATGATCCGGGTTAGGTATCGCTCCTGTGAACGTTCAAAGAACACCTTTATATTCTGAGGGGACACCGTTCATCATCAGATCACTGTTGACGGAAGCCAGGTGACAGCTTTGTATTTCGTGTTTTCCCCTTTAGTAATGTAAAAATAGAAGTTATTTCTCCTTTCTTCCAATGTAGGATTTTTTTTTTTTTGAGAGGGTCTCTGTCACCCAGGCTGGAGTGCAGTGACACAAACACAGCTCACTACATCCTTGACCTCTTGGGTTCAGATGATCCTCCCGCCTCAGCCTCCTTAGTAGCTGGGACGACAGGCACATTCCACCGGCCCGGCTAATTTCTTTTTAAAGTTTTTGTAGAGATAGGGCTCTCACTATGTTGCCCAGACTGGTCTTGAACTCCTGAGCTCAAGCGATTCTCTCACCTTGGCCTCCCAGAGTGTTGGGATTACAAGCGCGAGCCACCACACCCAGCCCAGTGTAGGAATGTTTAATTCCTCCACTTGCTATCAAAGAAAACTGCTAACTTTCTTATTTCCTAATTTCTCTTTTTCTATTTGCTTCTCCTTAGGTTCAGCTCTTGGGTGCTATCTCCTTAGTTTTGAGAATATGAAGGTTTGTTTAGAAAAAAAAAAGCAGAAAAAATTCACTGGAAGATTTCACATTTGTATGTATCTTTATGAAATGTGACAGTGAAGTGTTAGGGTAGAGATATTTGATCTGATTACCATTAGGATAAAATCAAATCTCCTTACCATGTCTTACATGTGTACTTGTCCAATCTTGTCTCCTATAATTGTCCAACCAACCCGTTCTGTTCCAGCCTCACTGGCCTTCTTATTCTTTCACGAAGCTCACACTGTCCTCCAGAGCCTTGCACTCTCTTTTGCCTGGAATGCTCTCCCAGATCTTAACATGATAGGAAAACAAAAGACAACTGTTTGTCATGTCTACTACAGTCTCAGCCCCATGAGTCAGAGTCCATGCCCATTTTCCTTCCATGCAACATTCCTGGCACCTAGATAGTGACTGATGCATAATGGCTGGTAAAATATTTGATTAAAAAATATTTTAGTGTATTTCCTCCCCCAAAATATACATACACAACAGAGGCAGTTATTTTGTCTATATCTTTAGCACATTTTAGGCATTTAGTAAATTTCTGTTGAATCCATATGGAATTCTTCAGATTGATCTGTGAACACTTTAGATTTGAAAAAGGAGAAAATCATAAAACTAAGGGTAATGGGGAGAGAGCAAAACCAAAGGCATACATGGGAAGATTCTCCTTATACAAAATACTTCTTCCATGTCTATAATGAACCCCCAAATTATCTGGATACTTACAACAGTGGTAGCAAGGGAATGTCTCGTTAATGCAGGTTCTCTATTCTCCTCAATTAATTTCAGGTCCTTAATTGTGCATGACATATGAAACATAAAGGGTGTTTATTTGCTAATCACCAGCATTAATTAATTCAAAGACTTACCTGAGATTCTGTTTGTGCAATAAAAATTAAAAAGATTACTCAGTAATACATTGGGAGAGGTGTAACTGGGGCATTAAAATACGAATGTGTGTCTAATTTTCAAACATCATAAGTATTTTGAAAGCACTTATACATAATTAATATATGTTGTTAAATAAATTCATATGAATAATATGTGATATAAATTAGTGTTTTGTATTAATTTCAAGACAATTATAAAGAGAATGTCACCATCACTCTTTTGATTCAATCAACAGTCCTTAGACTGGTTCCTTGTAATGAATTTAATGGGTTAATAAAAGCTGTGTTATTTGAAATTATGTAATTTTGTTTTTTTAATATTTTGCTCAAACACTTTTCTTATTAGTGTAAATGACTGAAGTATTATGTAAATTTTAATACTGATTATCTAAGGTATATCATTAAAACAAATTATGAGCTGTGATCTTGGACAAGGTACTCAAACTGAAAGATGTTTTCCTTATCTGAAAATTTAGATAATAATAATTACCTCATAGTCTGTTAAGAAAAGCACATGTGATAATATATTTTAATGTACAATATGTCTGGCACATATTAAGGTCTAAAAAAGATAACTGTTACTGTTATACCAATAAGTATAATAATTTTGATAAATATAATAGTAA
The DNA here is from genome assembly GCF_000001405.40 of Homo sapiens. NCBI lineage: Eukaryota > Metazoa > Chordata > Mammalia > Primates > Hominidae > Homo > Homo sapiens. Next base: position 4,088,407 of record NT_167247.2, on the reverse strand, counting down.
TTTAAATATATTTTTTCCAACTTTTATTTTAAGTTCAGGGGTACATGTGCAGGATGTGCAGGTTTGTTACATAGGTAAATGTGTGCCATGGTGGTTTGCTACACAGATCATCCCATCACCTAGTTATTAAGCCCAGCATCCGTTAGCTATTCTTCCTGATGCTCTCCCTCCTCCCATCCCCTACTTCCGACAGGCCCCAGTGTGTGTTGTTCCCCTCCATGTGTCCATGTGTTCTCATCATTCATCTCCCACCTATAATGAGAACTATGAACTCATCATTCAGCTCCCACCTATAAATGAGAACATAAGATATTTGGTTTTCTGTTCCTGTGTTAATTTGCTAAGGATAATGGCCTCCAGCTCCATCCATGTGCCTGCAAAGAACATGATCTTATTCCTTTTCATGGCTACATAATGCACCACATTTTCTTTATTTAGTCTACCATTGATGGGCATTTGGGTTGATTCCATGTCTTTGCTATTGTGAATAGTGCTGCAATGAACATATGCATGCATATGTCTTTTATAATAGAGTAAATTATATTCTTTTGGTTATATACCCAGTAATGAGATTGCTGGGTCAAACAGTATTTCTGTCTCTAGGTCTCTGAGGAATTGCCACACTGTCTTCCACAATGGTTGAACTAGTTTACACTCCCACCAACACAACCTCTCCAGCATCTGTTGTTTTTTCACTTTTTAATGATAACCATTCTTATTGGTGTGAGATGGTATCTCATTGCGGTTTTGGTTTGCATTTCTCTAATGATCAGTGATATTGAGCTTTTTTTCATATGTTTCATGGCCACATGTATGTTTTCTTTTGAGAAGTATGTGTTCATGTCCTTTGCCCATTTTTTAATGGTTTTTTTCTTGTAAATTTAAGTTCCTTATAGATGCTGAATTGTAGATCTTTGTCAGACGCATAGATTGAAAAATTTTCTCCCATTCTGTGGGTTGTCTTTTTACTGTGTTGGTAGTTTCTTTTGCTGTGTAGAAGCTCTTTACTTTAATTAGATCCCATTTGTCAATTTTTGCTTTTGTTGCAATTGTTTTGGCTTCTTCATCATGAAGTCTTTGCCCATGCCTATGTCCTGAATGGTATTGCCTAGGTTTTCTTCTAGGGTCTTTATAGTTTTGGGTTTTACATTTAAGTGTTTAATCCATCTTGAGTTGATTTTTGTATATGGTGTAAGGAAGAGGTCCAGTTTCAATCTTCTGCATATGGCTAGCCAGTTCTCCCAGCACCATTTATTAAAGAGGGAATCCTTTCCCCATTGCTTGTTTTTGTCAGATTTGTTGAATATCAGATGCTAGTAGGTGTGTGGTCTTATTTCTGGGTTCTGTATTCTGTTCCATTGGTCTATATGTCTGTTCTTGTACCAGTACCATGCTGTTTTAGTTACTGTAGCCCTGTAGTATAGTTTGAAGTTGGGTAATGTGATGCCTTCAGCTTTGTTCTTTTTGCTTAGGATTGCCTTGGCTCTTCGAGCTCTTTTTTTGGTTCCATGTGAATTTTAAAATAGTTTTTAAAAAATTCTTTGAAGAATGTCAATGGTAGTTTAATAAGAATAGCATTAAATCTATAAATTGCTTTGGGTAGTATGGCCATTTTCATGATATTGATTCTTCCTATCCATGAGTATGGAATGTTTTTCACTTTGTTTGTGTCATCTCTGATTTCTTTGAAGAGTGATTTGCAGTTTTCCTTGAAGAGGTTCTTCACTTACCTTGTTAGCTATATTCCTAGGTATTTTATTCTATTTGTGGCAATTGTGAATGGGAGATCATTTGTGGGTAATTTAAATTTTTAAAATCAAATATTTTATCACTCATTATGCATTATTCTTCTCTGGGATAGATAGAGATTTCCCAGAACTCCGATAACCTTTATTTTAACCTATTTACCTCTGATTAATCTGTTTCGCCTCCCGGTTGTTACTGTAGTAACTGGGGTTATTAATAGCCTCAGAGCTACCAAGACTTCTCTGTAAAACTGATTATCTTTTTCAGGATAGCATCCTCTAAATGGTTATGCAAGATTTATGGTTAAGAATGGAAGTAGCTGATTAAATAATTCGATGAGCTTTACTCAACTATCTACTTTTCACAGCCTCTATTTTGTCCCCTGTGGAAGCACATAACAGGGCTTAGCTTTGGTGTTGTAGCTCTCTGTCAGAATATGCAATTAGTAGGTCTCATATATAAAATTTCATTTCATCTTAATATTAATCCCACCAAATGGAAGCTATCTAAACTTTAAAGTTAAAATGACTGAGGCTAACAGAGAATATGTGATTTGTTGAGGGTCACAAACTTAACGAATTCTCCAACTGCGGGACAAATGCATTTTTCTCAAAATCTGTTACCTTTTATATTATATCCCAGTGTCTCATAGTGCCAAGACAAGGAAAAAATGAACAATTCTTAGACAATTATCTTCTTTTCCAGGGAATATCTTTCCATTTTCTTTTTCCCATCCCTCTCCTACCCTCCCCCAGCTACAGTCAAACCTCAAATATAAGAACCAGAGAATTTAAATAAATGTCACAAGAAGAAACATCCTGAATCGTGTTCTTCTTCTGGTTCCTGAAACTTCCAAACATATCTTCAGCGTTATCACAAAGTTCAGTGATACTTAGGAATAACCTAGTGCTGGACACCAAGTAGATGACCAATGAATAATTTTTGTATTCTTAGTAGAGATGGGGTTTCACGATGTTGGCCAGTCTGGTCTAGAACTCCTGACCTCAGGTGATCCACCCGCCTTGGCCTCCCAAAGTGCTGGGATTACAGGCATGAGCCACCGCACCCGGCCCAGAAACAGATTTCTTATCTGAAATATCAGAAGGCAGAAAACAACAAGAGGGAAAAAAGGCTGCTAACTTAACGCATGGGGAAGCAGGGTGTGGGCAGGAAATGCAGTGTAAGAGAGGAGATTTGTACAGGGCGATGGAAGAGACAATGGAGAGAAGACAATCTGAGCAGAAGCTGTGAGGAGTAGATAGATACTAGGGAAAGGGGCTGCTAATTATGGTGTTATTTTAAAACTAGCTTTGTGTTTAAAATTCTCATTGCAACACCCTCAGAGACCTCCACTGCACTGCAAAAATCTTGGATTTATATTTTGTTTATCTTCTGGTGTAAAACTGAGCTGAAGCACACTGATTCTACTAGAAGAAGTCAATGTCCTAGGAAGACATTGACAGCTGTAGGGATGTTAACTGGGTCATCTTCACCAGTAGGTGGGGACATTGCACTTTAAAAATTCAAGGGAGCTGCTGCTTTCCCTTCTCTCCTGGCCCCTTGGCAGGTCTAGATTTGAGGGATCAGCATTTCTTGAGGGTGGTAACCCAGCCACTCTTATTTCCCTTACTCTTCCTTCCATGTGTTCAAAATATGATGCAATCTGAGATGTGGTTGTGGGTGTTTGAGAAGCAAAGAAGCATGACTGGAGCAGGAGTTAAAGTCTGCTTTTGTTTGAGAACTGAAGAGCTCAGTCTTTTACACGCTTTCACAGATAAGAGATTGGTACTATAAAATTACATGCTTAAAACAAACTTCGCTGCTGTCATTCTAATGCAAGCCACTATCCTTTTTCACATTGAGCATTCTGCCACCATCTGCAGCATTCTTGATATTTCAGTAAGAATTAAATTTTATTTTGCAATCAGTATTTTAAATTTATCAGGATACCTGTATATAGTTTGAGGATTAAACAATAAAGATGTATTTTAATGAAAACAAGAGCCCTTCATGCCATTCCTTTCCTCCACTAGCATTATCCCCAGCTCAATGACTTTTAATGGTAATATGTGTATCTTTGTGTATGTGGGGTATTAATTTAGACATCAGTTATCTAATTATCTGAAAGCAGATAATTTAGACCACCAACAATTTTATGTCTCTGGCATCCTTCTTGCAATTTTATTATATTACTATGTTTAGTTCCTCTGTAGGTAATCCCTGTATTTAAAAAAAAAACAAAGAAAACCTACACCTAAGTATATTGTATTTAAACTGTAAAAAAAGTTGAAATACATAAATACTGCTTAGAAAAGCAAAGTGGGATGGGAAAAGTACAAGTTATTACATTTTAGTATATTTCTTAAAAATGAATATAACAGGTAGATATTTGTTAGTATGCATTACAAAATTTGGGCAACATAGTTATGAAGTATATTTGGATATTTTTCAATACATATATTACACAAAGGAAGAAATAAAGTACTGCTCAAATCAATGGATTAAATAACCTAGTTGAGATATTGGAAAGTAGATGAACAGTAATTCACAGAAGAAACTCAAATGGAAAATAGCATATGCAAAGATGGCCAACTTTCTCTATAATATTTGACACAGTAATATTATGTCATTTCAGTTTAAATAAAATTATACATTGATAAAAATGTGAAATCACGTCTTTGAGGGGTTACTAAGAAACTGTCTAGAAGCATTGTTCTAGAAGCTGATGTGGTTTTGGAAGATCAAGTGTGAATGTCCAAAGGCACTTCTGTTGAATAAAACACCAAGTGGAGAAATTGAAGATCCCTGATTGTGGAAGTATCCAACTGTTTAGAACTCAACTGAAATCCTGAATGATAGTTCTCTACATGTAGCAGGAGGAGCAAGTGACTCATGGAAATAACGGGTTTATTTAAATAAAGATAGCCTTTATGTGGACATCAAATTCATCAATGAATGTATCCATTTATTTGTCAAATAATTATTTAGCTCCTACTAAGTGCTACATGCTATTCCAGATAACTTAGTCAAAAAGGCAAATGTGTCCCTACCTTTATGAGCTTTAATTCTAGCAGGAACTAAAAAAAGTCACATAATAAACAGACATAAAATGCAGTGTTAGGTTGTGATTCTTGCTATGAAGCTACAAAAGAGGAAAGCTGAGTAAGGGAATAAAGAAACAAAGTGCTTATCAGTAGTGAACTTCCATGCAGGCCATGACAGGCTCATTTCAAAAGAAGCAGAAATATTTTATTATTTTTCCTTGGGTTATTAGTGTCACATGTAAGAATAGTGCACTAGATTTACTACCACAGATTTTTGTACTTATACTTATTTTGAACAAAATAACAACGTCTAGATAGTTCCTTTCCTCCTGCAAGAACTAAGTGTATGTAAGTCCTCTCTTTTGTAATCTAGTTTATTTTTTTCACATGTGAGGATCCCAGATACTATTAGGATGCCTTCATTGCTAATTGGATCTTGGAAAATATACTTTCTTGCTTTACAAAATATATTTCCTTTTAAGCCTCAGAGTAAATTTTGAAATGATCTACCCATGGATTAGTCCTCTGATTTTAACTAGTATCATTATTCTAGCTGTAAAGGACATCTATTCAAACTGTGTACAGGTAAGATTATCCAGGGGGTATAGTTTAGAGCACCCATATAATTTTCAATAGATTATGTGATTTTACAAGAATCTATCAAGTTAATGTTTCAAGAATATTGATAATTACTTTTAGACGTTTTGCTGAAAAAATACAAATAGACAGGGAGTCCATAGTAATAGGGTGGGTCTAAAGTTATGTAGTCTGAGTGAGGACATGGGATGTTAAGTCCAGAGACAGGCCATATGCAGACAGCCAGAACAATGTCTCAAAATCTACAAATGGCTGGGCCTGGATCAGTAATTCTTATGTGAAGGAGGATGCCAGAAATGAGCAATGTAAACCTTAACAGAGTCTGAAAACACATCTCAAGGTAGAGGTTAGAATGAATCCACCTGCCATCCCAGCCTGATACACATGCTAGAATGGGTTATAGAAATGGGCTAACAGGAAAAAAGTCATTGAAATCATGGAAAAGACCGAAATGAAAAATGTGAGATAATATAAAGGTCCATATATGTTATTTATTTCAGTAAAATGCAAATAGACTTGACTTGTGATCAAAAGACAGAGACTGACAAATTGAATGCAAAAATACAAATTCAGATTATACTGTTTACAAGACATATGTCTAAAGCATAAAAGTCATTTCAGAGATTGAGTGTAAAAGACAGAAAGGATATATCATGCAAATACTAATTTTGAAAAATGATATCAATTTATTAATGTAAAAAACAAATTTTAAGGAAAAAAGGCATTGTAGATTTTTCTCCATCTCTTTATTTTGAGCCTGTGTGTCATTACATGTGAGATGAGTCTCTTGAAGACAGCATACCAATACATCTTGGTTCTTTATCCAGCTTGTCACTCTGTGTCTTTTAATTGGGGTATTTAGCTGATTTACATTTAAGGTTAGTATTGATATGTGTGGATTTGCTCCTGTCATCATGATGTTAGCTGGTTAATTTGCAGACTTGTTTATGTGGTTGCTTTATAGTGTCACTGGTCTGTGTACTTCAGTGTGTTTTTGTAGTGGCTGGTAACAGTCTTTCCTTTTCATATTTAGTGCTTCCTTCAGAAGCTCTTGTAAGGTAGGTTTGGTGGTAATGAATTTGCTCAGCATTTGCCCGTCTGAAAAGGATCTTATTTCTCCTTCAATATGAGGCTTCATTTGGCCAATTATGAAACTCTGAGTTGGAATTTCTTTTCTTTATGAATATTGAATATTGGCCTCCAATCTCTTCTGCTTGTAGGGTTTTAGCTGAGAGGTCTGCTGTTAGTCTGATGGACTTCCCTTTGTAGGTGACCTGATCTTTCTCTCTAGTTGTTTTTATTTTTTATTTTTTAACATTTTTTTCTTTCATTTTGACCTTGGGGAAGCTGATAATTGTGTGTCTTGGGGATAAAAGTCTTGTGAAGTATCTTATTGGGGTTCTGTACATTTCCTGAATTTGAATGTTGGTCTCTCTAGCTAGGTTGGGGAAGTTCTCATGGATGATATCCTGAACTATGTTTTCCAAGTTGGTTCCATTCTCTCCGTCTCTTTCAGGGACACCAATCAGTCATAGATTTGGACTCTTTACATAACCCCATATTTCTCAGAGGTTTTGTTCATCATTGGGGAAGACAGTGTGGAGATTCTTCAAAGACCTAAAGACAGAAATACCATTCAACCCAGCAATCTTATTACTGGGTATATACCCAAAGGAATATAAATCTTTCTATTATAAAGGCACATGCATGTATATGTTCATTGCAGCATATTCACAATAGCAAAGACATGGAATCAACCTAAATGCCCATCAATGATAGACTAGATAAATAAAATGTGGTACATATACACCATGGAATACTATGCAGCCATAAAGAAACAAAATCATGTCCTTTGCAGAGACATGGATGAAGCTGAAAGTCATTATCCCTAGCAAACTAATGGGGGAACAGAAAACCGAATACTGTTTGTCCTCACTTATAAATAGGAGCTAAATTATGAGAACACATGAATTCATAAAGGAAAACAACACACACTGGGGCCTATCAGAGGGTGGAGGGTGGGAAGAGGGAGAGGATCAGGAAAAATAACTAATAAGTACTAGGCTTAATAACTGTTTGACAAAATAATCTGTACAACAAACCTCCATGAAACAGTTTACCTATGTAACAAAACTGCACATGTACCCCGAACTTAAAATAATAGTTAAGAAAAGAAAACAAACAAACAAAAAGCAAATTAAAAATAAAAGCTATGGTTGAATCAATGATGACATTGAGGAATAAAACAAGCATTAGGATCATGACATTAGCACAAAGCCATTCATGAGGGATCTGCCCCCATGGTCTAAACATCTCCCATTAGGCCCTGCCTCCAACATTGGGGATCAAATTTCAACATGAGATTTGGAGTGGACAAATATCCAAACTGTGGATGGGAATGCATGTGGAAGAAATACTTAATACAATTGCATTTAAAAAGTAGAGAGGGTAAAATATGCTAATGGTAATAGAGATACGGACTGTATCCTTCACTCAAAGTGGTAAAACATCAATACCAGTAGACTGTGATAAGTTATATGTATATATTGTAATAAGTACAACCACCACCAAGAAAGCTATATGAAGCAATGTACTAAAAAGGATTAAAAAGTATGAGTGTAGATACAAAAGTTCTTCCTGAGAACTTCAAATAAGATAGATATGCATATGGTGAGTAGGGCTGAAGTCTTGACTTCTATGCCTGAAAGTAGGCATTATTGGCTGGGAATTTAATTCCTAAGTGGGAAAGAAACCAAAAGTGCTCTATGGAGGAAAGAGAGCCAAATTTTGACTTTCTGCTTCTGGCTAGGAGCTGAGGTTAGGCTCCCCATGATTTTAAAGGAGGTTGAGGAGAATGTTTTCAAACACTTGTATGCTATAGATATAAGGAAGTGAGAAGACACAGAATAACTTTCTCAAAAGGAACTGAAGCAAATAAAAAACAACTGTCCTGAGAAGATTGTTATTGTTCCAGATATTACAACAGGACAATAAATCTGAATGATCACTGAAGAACTGGGATTTTGATTGGAAGCCTGATGGGCTGAGGTGGAGTGGCTAAATAAAACCTCTGGACAGGGACAGTGGAGTACAGAAAAGAAGAGGAGGGAGGAGAGTAAAAGAGATGGGCAATGCTATGGTTTGAATGTTTATTTTCTCTGAAACTCATATTGAAACTTAATCCCCATAGTAATAGTATTAAGAGGGCTGTAAATCCAACTATGGTATTTGAGAGGTGGCACCTTTGGGAAGTAATTAGGATTAGATGAGGTCTTGAGGGTGGGGCATTGAGAGGAGAAACAGAGACCTTGAGCCATACCCCTTTGCCCTCTTGTCACATGATGCTCTGCACCTCATCAGAACTCGGCAGAAGGCCCACCACTAAGAAGACTCTCACCAGATGCTGGCACCATGCTCTGGGACTTCTCATCCTCCAGAACCATAAGAGATAAATTTTGTTTCTTCATAAATTACCCAATTTTTGGCATTCTGTTACAAGCAACAAGAAACAGACTAAGGCAGAAAATTGGTACTAAAAAGTTGGGCTGTTGCTAATAACAAATATCTGAAAATGTGGAAGCAGCTGTGGAACTGGGTAATGGGTAGAGGTTAAAAGAACTCAAAAAGGCAGGCGAGAAAAAGCCTGTATTGCCTTAAATGTCAATTCTGGTGATAAAGGGTGATTTTGGTGAGGGCTTAGAAGAAGTCAAGAAGACTAGGAAAAGTCTGGAACTCCTTTGTGATGATTTGAGTGGTCAGGACCAGAATGTCAATAGAAATATGGACAGTAAGGGCTGTTCTGCTGAGGTCTCAGGTCTGAGGAACAAGGAATTGGAAACTGAAGTAAAGGCCATCCTTGTTATAAATGCGTGAAAAACTTGGTTCTGAATTGTGTCTATATCTGATGGTTTTATTAGGCTATATGGCAGAAGAAATATCTAAGCAGCAAAGCAGTCAGGCAGCTGCATGGCTACTTTTAACTGCTTACATTAAAGCTGTGAGAGGTAAAAAATAACTTAAAGGTGGAATTTATAATTAAAAGGGAAGCTAAGTGGAAAGATTAGGAAATTTTGCAGCCTGGCCCTGAAAGAGCATTTTCAACAGAGGAAACCAAGGGTGTGTCTGAAGGAATGATTGATAAGGAGGGACTGATTGATAAGGAGAATTGTATGAATAGAATAAAGCCAGAAGCTATTCATCAAGACAATGGGAGACAAACACTGAATGCACTTTAGAGATCTTCAAGTCTACCCCTGCCATCACAGGCCCAGAGCTCTAGGAGGAAAGAATGGTTTCAGGAGACAGGCCTGGGGTGTCCTCCATGGGCTTGCTGCCCAATGCCACCTCAGGACAGTGCTTCCCTCATCCTGGTTGCTCCAGCCATAGCTCAAGTGTCCCTAGATGTGACTCATATTGTAGCTGCAGAGGGCACAAGCAGTAAGCCTTGGCAATGTCCACATGCATGTGGTGCTATTTCTGCAGGTCTTCAGGATGCAAGACTAGTGGGAAGGCATAGAAATCTCCACCTAGATTTCAAAGGATGTATCAGACTGCCTGGGAACCCAGGGAGAAAACTGCCACAGGGGCAGGGCCACCACTGTGGGGAAAAGCAAGAGGGATCAGATTGTTACTGTGTCTGTGTAGAAAGAAGTAGACATAGGAGACTCCATTTTGTTCTGTACTAAGAAAAATTCTTCTGCCTTGAGTGCTGTTAATCTATGACCTTACCCCCAACCCCGTGCTCTCTGAAACATGTGCTGTGTCGAACTCAGGGTTAAATGGATTAAGGGTTGTGCAAGATGTGCTTTGTTAAACGGATGCTTGAAGGCAGCATGTTCCTTAAGAGTCATCACCACTCCCTAATCTCAAGTACCCAGGGACACAAACACTGCGGAAGGCTGCAGGGACCTCTGCCTAGGAAAGCCAGGTATTGTCCAAGGTTTCTTCCCATGGGATAGTCTGAAATATGGCCTCGTGGGAAGGGAAAGACCTGACCGTCCCCCAGCCCGACACCCGTAAAGGGTCTGTGCTGAGGAGGATTAGTATAAGAGGAAGACATGCCTCTTGCAGTTGAGACAAGAGGAAGGCATCTGTCTCCTGCCCGTCCCTGGGCAATGGAATGTCTCGGTATAAAACCCGATTGTACGTTCCATCTACTGAGATAGGGAAAAACCGCCTTAAGACTGGAGGTGAGACATGCAGGCAGCAATACTGCTTTGTAAAGCATTGAGATGTTTATGTGTATGCATATCTAGAGCACAGCACTTGATTCTTTACCTTGTCTATGATGCAAAGACCTTTGTTCACGTGTTTGTCTGCTGACCCTCTCCCCACTATTGTCTTGTGACCCTGACACATTCCCCTCTCTGAGAAACACCCACGAATGATCAATAAATACGAAGGGAACTCAGAAGCCGGCGGGATCCTCCATATGCTGAACGCTGGTCCCCTGGGTCCCCTTATTTCTTTCTCTATACTTTGTCTCTGTGTCTTTTTCTTTTCCAAGTCTCTCGTTCCACCTAATGAGAAACACCCACAGGTGTGGAGGGGCGACCCACCCCTTCAACCACCAAGAGCCTCTGCTAGGGCAATGCTGAGAGGAACTGTGGGGTTGGAACTGCTACAGGGAGTCCTCCCCAGGGAAATATCTAGTGGTGCTGTGACAGTGGGACTGCCACCAAGACTCCAAAACTGTAGAGCTACCAGCATGCAGTCCCAGCTTCGAAAACCCAAGGCACCTGACTCCAACCCATGAGAACAGCCATATGTGGGCTGCAACCAGCAAAGCCATGAGGGCAGGGTTGCCTGAGGTCTTGGGGGCCCAACTTCTGCCCCTGTGTGCTCAGGATGAGGAACATGGAGTCAAAAGACATTATTTCCAGCTTTAAAATTTAATGTCTTTCCCTGTTGAGTTTCAGACTTCCTTGAGGCCTGTTACTTCTTTCTTCTGGCCCATTTCTCCTGTCCCAGCATTGTATCTTGGAGGTAGATAATTGGCTTTAGTATCTCAGGCTCACAGATAAGGACTTTGGACTTTTGGACTTTTGAGTTGGTACTAGAGAAAGTTAAGACTTTGGGGCTCTGGGGATAAAATGAATGTATTTGAATGTGAGAAGAATATGAGTTTTGAGGCTGCAGGGGTGAAATGCTATGGTTTGAAAGTTTGCTCCTCTAAATCTTATGTAGAAACTTAATCCCTATTGTAACAGAATAAAAGGGTAAGAAAACAGACCATGATATTTTAGGGGTGGGACATGTGAGAAGTAATTAGTATTAGATGAGGTCATGAGGATGGGGTGATGGGGCACTAAGGGTTTGATAAGAGGAGAAAGAGATACTTGAGGTAGCCCTCTCAGCCTGCTTGCTGTGTGATGCCTTGCACCACAATGGGACTCTGCAGAGGGTCCCCACTAGCAAGGAGGCTCTCACCAGATGCTGGCACCATGCTCTTGGACTTCCCAGCCTCCAGAAATAAATTTTGATTCTTTATAAATTACCCAGTTTCAGGTATTCTATTGCAATCATCAGGAAATTAATTAACACAGCAAAATCGACATCTAGAATACAAAATAATCGCAGCACTTTGGGAGGCCGAGGCAGGCGGATTACCTGAGTTCAGGAGTTTGAGACCAGCCTGGCCAACATGGGGAAACCCTGTCTCTACTAAAAATACAAAAATCAGCCGGGTGTGGTGGCACATGCCTGTAATCCCAGCTACTCAGGAGACTGAGGCAGGAGAATCCCTTCAACCCAGGAGATGGAAGTTGCAGAGTGAGCCAAGATTGTGCCACTGCACTCCAGCCTGGGCAATGGAGTGAGACTCTGTCTCAAAAAAAAAAAAAAAAGAATATACAGTAATTGGAGATGAAATTAATTTAAGTGTTCTGGTATATACTATGTAAGTATATGAAGTATAAATAAGTAGAGTGCAGATGACACCAATAATAATGACTTCATTGTTATTCTGTCTCGGTGAAGAAGGAGTCCTGTAGGTATGATTAATTATTCTCTTAGGTGTGTCTTCTCAATGCCAGCAAAGCTAGGTGTGGGTGAAAAAAATACCACCTAGTCTTTTTTGTTAAGTGACTATGAATATCATCAGATCCCTGTGCTTCCCTGTCTCTATCCCCAGGGATTCAATGACATTTATACACTTGGTTCCCAGGTGAGATTTTAATTAATAAACTAATCTCATGACTGTTAGCAATTATAATTAGATATTCTGTCAAGTTCCTAATTCTCACATCTTCAAGTCCTGTAATTTGGCATGAAGGCACTGCGAATTTGGACTTTGAGCTAACAAGATTTAGACAGGATATTGGCCTTGATCTGAGGCTGTAATGGAATGAGACTTTGGGGGGTCCTTGAGAAGGGATTAATGTATTTTACATTTGAGAGGGACATGAATTACAGGTGGCCAGAGGGCTGAAGAGGTGAGAAGGAAAGCAGAATTCTAAGATGGCCCCCAGGAATATCTATCACCCCCTGTTGTACATACCTTATAAAATTCCTTTCCTTTAAATGTGGGTGGAACCTACCGAGACCAGCTTTGTCAGGGAGACCCTAACCCAGCAGCGCTAGAGGAATTAAAGACACACACACAGAAATATAGAGGTGTGAAGTGGGAAATCAGGGATCTCACAGCCTTCAGAGCTGAGAGCCCTGAACAGAGATTTACTCACATATTTATTAATAGCAAACCAGTCATTAGCATTGTTTCTATAGATATTAAATTAACTAAAAGTATTCCTATGGGAAATGAAGGGATGGGTTGAATTAATTGCAGCCGGAACACGCCCTTAAGACATAGATTGCTCATGCTTTTGTTTGTGGCTTAAGAATGCCTTTAAGTGGTTTTCTGCCCTGGGCAGGCCAGGTGTTCCTTGCCCTCATTCCCGTAAACCCACAACCTTCCAGCTTGGGCGTTAGGGCCATTATGGACATGTTATAGTGCTGCAGAGATTTTATTTATGGCCCAGTTTATAGCCATAAACTGGGCCATAAATTTGGGGCCATAAATTTGGGGCCAGTTTATGGCCAGATTTTGGGGGGCTTGCTCCCAATAGTAACCAGTAAATTTAATGGTATGATCACTACTGTGATTGGGTTATGTTTTGACTGCAATTAGCCTTATGAAAAGGAAATTATTGTAGGTGAGCATGAACTAATTAGGTGAGCCCTTGAAAGGGACTGAACTTTTCTTGAAGAGAGAGATTAAACATGAGAAAGACTCCCTATTACTGACTTTGAAGACGTAGAGGGCCATGTGGCAAGGAACTGAGAGTGGTCACTGGGAGCTGATACTGATCCCTGGCTGATAGCCAGCTTGAAAACATGGACCTCAGTCATACGTGGAAATAAATTCTGTCAACAGGCAGTGAGCTTGGAAGAGGACTCCATATTCAAATGAGAATTATAAGGTCAGCTTGTGACTTCAGTCTTGTGAGATCCTAAGCAGAGAGCCCAGTTGAGCTTTGCCTAGACTTCTGACCTAGAAAACTGAGATAAAAATGGGTGTTGTTTTAAGCTGCAAAGTTTCTACTAATTTGTTATGACAGTGGCTAGAAAATTAATACAATATGCTTTGTTTATTTAAATTTTACATACTGCACCATAAGCACCTTTGACATAAACAGAATGCTTAAAATTGATATACCTTTCACATATTAATTCTTTACTTTTTCTTAGTATAGTCTAAGAATACTTTCCTGTATGGTTTCTTTCTTTGTTTTGTTATTTAAACTCATCTCACCACTTTTTAATAAAATAAATATTTACTTTTTTTTTCTATATTTTTGTTGATGGCTTTCATGAAACTTCGGTTCTTGTCTTCCTAGTTTAAAAGAATTTAAACAAGAGACACACAGCAAAGGAGATACAACATAGAGCAATTTATTGCAAAGGAGAAAGGATACTCTGAAAGTTAGGTGCAGAATCAACAGTACACCCCAAGAGACAATTCAGGGCAGGTTGCTTGTGCGGGTGAGACAGTGTTGAATGTTACTGGGGAAACTCCCTTTATGGGAGTCTTACATGATTATTCATAAGGGGGTGGGAAGATGTGTTACTAGCAAGCATGTTCTGGGTGGTTCCTCCTCAGTTCTGAGTTCCTTCTCATTTAAACTTTTAATCTGCCTCAGTATAATCTCTGTATGTGTGTATGTATGGGCTCTTTTTACTATCCCACTAACTCACTAATTGACCCAACACTATTTTTAGTAATTTTTCCTATTCCACTGGATTAAAAGTTTGCTTTATTATGCACTACATTCTTAATTTATCCAACATAAATGCAGGATAACTTGTTCTATCCTTGAAAGCAGTCCCAGTATGATGTTCTTTAGAGAGGCCAGAGCAAATTTCCCCGTACTCCATTTCAAATACTTCAAATTATATTGCAACCTCTTGAAAAATATCAAATTAGGATTGTATTTCTAACACCAAGAAAAATGATTTAAAATTCTTTTAAAATAGCTTCTTGTCCTAAAAATCTCACCATAATTTCCTCATCACTATGCTGCTTTCTCTTTCGTTCCATATTGGTGTCATGACAATCAAGTATATTTCAAAAAACTTGTTTCCGGACCCCTTACATCCCACTGAGTTCCATTCCTCATTAGCTACAGCCCATTACCCTACAAATTTGGATAGACTCCAGAAGAGTAGAGTGGGCCCTTATGTACCTTGAAGAAGTGAAGAATATAACCTGTAACATTGAAGGCTTCTTAGAAATATGTTTGTCTCCCATCCCAAAATTTTCTCAAAGGGTTTGCGACTTCCTAGAAATGTAATACAGTGGTCCTCCCTTATCGATGGTTTCACTTTCCACAGTTTCAGTTACTGGTGGTCAATCAATCACAGTGTGAAAATATAGGTGTTTAGTACAATAAGATATTTTGAGAAGAGGGGAGAGAGAAAGAGACAGAGAAAGAGAGAGACAGATCTCATTTACATAACTTTTATTACAGTATATTGTTATAATTGTTCTATTTTATTATTAGTTATTGTTGTTAACCTATGACTGCACAATTTGTAAATTAAACTATATCATATGTTTGTATGTGTAGAAAAACATAGCATATACAGAGTTTGGTACATGCCTTCAGGCATCCTTTGGGGTGCCTTGCAACATATCTCCCATGGATAAGAGGGGGCTATTGTAAACAAAATTTTCAATTTCATTAATTGTGGCATAAATTAGGTTCTGTTTATGTGCAGCCAATATCATTCCACAGTTGTCCTTTTTTTGGGGCACTATGAACATGTTTTAATTGTTTAGCTTTATAATCATTTGTAAACATCTATTAGAGTACCTCTCCTTATTTTTATCAATAGTTGTTTTTGTATACCGCTCTTGAAAGTTAGAAACATTTTGTTAATAAAACTGTCTTATTACTATTTAGATTAAAGCATCACCAAGTCCATGTATTTTGTCTGGAAAAGTGACACAAATTGCCCTGTCCAAGAAAGTGGTATCATTGTTTACTAAACTTCTTTCTGTCCTTAAGTAAATTTCTATTCTTTTCTGTGAATTGCACACATGACTGCTTTGATATTTTGTATATTTATTGCTCTTTTCAATAATTTTTTTTCTGGAATGGATTCATTGACCTAATCTGCCAGAGAGAATTAATGAGGCCCCACATCTTCTCATTAGTTGGAGAAGAAAGTATTTAATGGTTTAACTTGAACGTGACTTTTGTGAATCTTTTTTTTTTTTTTTTTTAAAGCAGAATCCTGTATTTGGTTACATTCTGGTCTAGTGACCACTTCCTTCAGGTAAAGCAAGCTTCCCTGTCTGGAACAGCCAGGCATGTGATAAAAAATTTCCTTTGTGGTCACTTAGTTATTATTCCTCTTGTCTTGAGTGTCTGGGCTGCTATTTTCATGTATTTACATCCAAATGAAGTCTTTCTTTCCAACTTTTTATAGTATGTTTTGATTCACAAAATATTTTAGCCTTATCTACAATATAATAATTTCCCACAAATGCAAAGAATATAGGTTTGTACAGCTTTGAAGTAATATTGGCAAAAGAGTATGAAGCAGAGTGCCCATATTTAAATATAACTTTCAACATGTTAGTCTTTCTATAGGTGTTTTCAGGATAATAAAAATTAATTTGATTGATATAGACTTGGGGGCAATATATGAGAAACAGGCTCTGCTCTAAAGGATAGGATGAGAGGTGGGCAGGGAGGATTTGTATGGTTTGAATTCCAGGCACACACGCTAACTGCTAATTTGGCATCATCCACCAGGTTGAATATTTTCATGAAATTCTGTCTTACATCTCTGCTAATCCTAAAACAAAGAATGAGGATCATTTCAGGTGAGTCTAAGTCAGGAGAAACTATTAAAATTGTTATATTCTTCATTTAATTTTTTTCTATGATTATTTTTTCTTCTTTTTATACTAATTAGAATAGGCCAAACTGCTGCAACAAATAGACTAAAAAGTGTATTGTGGCTGAAATATAGTAGAAGTTTATAACTCACTAATGTAGCAGAAGGAGGATATTGAAGATTTGTGAGTCACTTTTCTCCAGGTGGTGATTCAGAATTCCAAGCTCCCATAGTCCAATATGGTGCCTTTCATTTTTTTTCCTGAGAAAATTAACACATTTTAATTTTTCCTCAAGAAGGGAGGTACAAGAGTGATCAATTGTGATCTAGAAGATTAAGGCAAGAAAGTTAGTGAAATTTGCTACAGTGTCTACTATTATAGTTGTCATTATGACTGTAACTAATATTTGTTTCCCTCCTTCACAAGCCATTCTTGATTCCCCTCATCCTCTGAATTTAGTCTAGTTTGTTTTTCTGTTTTGGTGACAGAGACAACTATTCCAGAAGGGTCTATGTTACTATTTACTCTGTTCTTGAATTATGATTGTTTTAGTGTCTACTGACAGACATGACCATGCATAGAAGCACTAAAAGACTATTGTATTTTCATCTGGGATAGTAGTCTCTGTCACTAAACCAGAAGAACAACCTAGTTTTTAGACCTGTTCAAGCTTGGTTCCAAAGGAACCACTTCTGCTGCAGATGGATTGTGGTTGGTATCCCCAAACTTACGACTCCATGGATTTATAGCTCTTCGCATCATATGGACAATTTAAGGCACATGGTCAGTGTGCTAAGTGCCTATCAGGAAGAAATGAACACTTGGTCATAGTTTTAGAACTATGAAAGGAAATTAAATCTTGGGACTCCAACTCATTAAGCCTAAGGGAAAAGTTAATCTGGGATCGGGGTTGCGAAAACCCGCCTCCCCCTTTTTGGTTCCTAAATAAGATGGCTACAAAATGAAAAGCTACATGCCTCCCTCATATTTTGTCCACAAGGAAAGTCCTTGTGAGCTGCAAGATCTTTACTCTAAGGTGTTTCTGTTAAAATTTTACCATGGCAATGTAAATTGGTAGCTTATCTTTACAGGTGTAGTCACGCCCCTGCCCAGAAGACACAAATGCATATCTTTTTTTTCTTTCTTTTTTTTTTTTCAGACGGAGTCTCGCTTTGTCATGCTGGCTGGAGTGCAGTGGCGCGATCTTGGCTCACTGCAACCTCCACCTCCCGGGTTCAAGTGATTCTCCTGCCTCAGCCTCCCAAGTAGCTGAGATTACAGGCATCTGCCACCATGCCTGGCTAATTTTTTTTTTTTGTACTTTTAGTAGAGACAGGGTTTCACCATGTTGGCCAGGCCTGTTTCAAACTCCTGACCCCAAGTGATCTGCCTGCCTCAGCATCCCCAAATGCTAGGATTACAGGCATGAGCCACCGCGCCCGGCCACAAACGCATATCTAATTGTTCCCCTTCCCCCGTTTTGTCTATGTCATCTTATGTAAAAAAAATGCAGATTAACTGAGCCAGACAAAGGCATGAATGACTATTTTTCCTTACCCTCCTCTTACATGAAAATTGTGTACTTCTCAATATCCCTATCCTTTCCCCTTAAATTTAGAGCCCTCAAAATTATCTTCGGAGAAAGGTATAGACCTGTCTCCTGGGTGCTTATTCTTAACTTTGGCAAATAAACCTCTTAAAATGATTGAGACTTGCCATTTTTCTCGATTGACAGAACACATGAGTTCATGCAAAGTTACTGTTGGAGAAGTTTTCCTGTGGTTGTTTTTTGGAACATGTAATATGAATGAAGTGATCAAGAGTTTGAGCTGTGACTTACACTTTAGGCTATAATAGAGTAATTGGTGCGGTTAAGACTTCATCTCTCCTGGGCAGCTTTCTTGAGCTTTAGGAGACTGACTCACAATGGAGCTGAGGCTTCTTCTGTCCCTTGCTACTGATTTGTAAGTAATAAAACTGCTTCACATAATTTGTGTGTGAGTGTGTTCTGTTTCACCAGACTCAGATAAACAGGTAGCCAGTGCATGGTGGACATAAACAGTAGCTCAGAATGCAGTGGGAAGAAGTATCTGGACCTCTTTTCCTGGTGGTTGGCATAGTGATGATCTTTTCTATTCTCCATGCAGTGGAAGTCCTCCCTTTCCTCCCTTGGTATTGGTAATTAGTAAACCTGCTTCATAAACTGTGATTAACATACTAAAATCTCTAATGGAAAAGGTAGACAACATGCAAGATTAGACAGTTTCAGCAGAGATATGAAAGCTTTAAGGATGAATGAAATGGAAATAAAATAAAAATAAATTAACAAAAATAAAGAATGCATTTGACAAGCTCATCAGCAAATGTGGTACAGCCCTGGGAAGAATCAGTGAGTTTGAAATAGATCAATAAAAATTACCCAGAGTGAAACACAAAGAGAGAAAGAGAGTAAAAGTACATTAAAAAAATAAGCCTGGCACAATGTTTCACATCTGTAATCTCAGCACTTTGGGAGGCTGAGGTGGGAGGAATGCTTGAACCTAAAGAGCAGCCTGGGCAACATAAGGAGACCTTGTCTACAAAAAGAGAAAAATTAAGTGGGCAAGCATGGTGCTGGTATTCCCAGCTACTCAAGAGGCTAAGACGGGAGGACTGCCTGAGTTGGGGGCGAGGGTGGGGGATGCAGTGAGCTGTGATCGCACCACTGCATTCCAGCCTGGGCAACAGAGTGACACCCTGTCTCAAAACAAACAAACAAACAAACAAACAAACAAACAAACAAACAAAGGTGATGTAACCATTCAATACAGCACTGCAGCTCTTGGATGCTCTGTTTTGTTTTTCCCCTGCTCTTCTTTTCTCTTTGTATTTCACATTGGGTAATTTTTATTAGGTATCTTATGGAATTAGTTTGTTAAAAGATAAACACATTATTTTGGTTGGCTTTGCTTTTTTAACATTATATTTTGAAATAATTGTAGTTTCAAAGGGAGTTACCAAGATAGAACAAAAAGATTCTGTATAGCCTTCATCCAGTTTTCCCCAATTGTAACATCTTACATAACTAAAGTGCAATATCAAAACCAGGAAATTATCCTGACATATATGGTCAAACGATTTTCAACAGGAGTGCCAGGCCATTAAATGCAGAAAGGACAGCCTTTTCAACAATGGTGCTGGGAAAACTGGAAGTCCACATACAAAAGAATGAAACTGGACTCTTACCCTACATTATAGACAAAATGAACTCAAAATGAATCAAAGACCTAAATGTGAAAACTAAAACCATAAAACTCTTAAAAAAATAGGGAAAATCTTCATGATATTTGATTAGGCAATGATTTCTTGGATATAACACCAAGGGCATAGGCAAGAAATGAAAAAAATATATATAAATTGGACTCCATCAAAATTTACAACTTCTAATTGAGGCATGGAAAACTAAATACCATATGTTCTGATTTGTAAGTAGGAGCTAAGTGGGTACTAAGCTATGGGTACTCAAAGGCATACAGAATGGTATAAAGGACAATGGAGAGTAAGAAAGTGGGGAGGATGGGAAGGAGGGTGAAGGATAAAAAACTACATATTGAGTACAATGCACACTACTCAGGTAACAGGTTCACTAAAATTCCAGGCTTCACCACTATACAATTCATCCATATAACAAAAAACCACTTGTAACCTAAAAGCTATTGAATTAAAATTATATTAAAAATTAAAAAAAATTATTATTGAGCATCTACTATGTGTTCAAAACTATTTTAGATGCTATATATTTGCCACTTCATTTAATCCTTGGCATTACTCTATGGAATAGATAATATCCTCATTTTGCAGTTAAAGAAACTCATACTCAGAGAGATTAACTTGGATTTATGAGCAATGTTGACATTATAAAGTAGAGGCAGGAAGACCAGTTAGGATGCTTTTGCAGTAATTAACTTGAGTGGAATTGTCGGTCTGTGAGAATAGAAAGTGAATCTTTTGGGAAGATTCTACAATGTTATTGTTTTTGCATAAGTGACTTTTTCCTCTACTCCCTCTTTTCACATGTAAAATGTAGATTTACTGAGACTAATCAGACTCACAAGAATGTAACCACTTGTGTCATTGCCTACCTTCCCTCCTTTTTTTTTTTTCCTCTCTCTTTCCCTTCCTGCTTACTCTTTCTTTTTAAACATTGAAGTTCTCAAAACCCTCTTTGGAATAAGCATGGATCATAGATGCTCCTGTGATTTGTGTTTTTCCCAGGTGCATCCTGAACCTTGGCAAAATAAACCTCTAATTGATTGAGACCTGCCTCAGTCACTTTTCGGCTTACACCAGGATTTCTTTCTTTTTAAAGCCTGAATAGAATTCCATTGTGTATACATACATTATCTTTACCCATTCATCTGCTGAATGACACAGGTTGATTTCATACCTTGACTATTGTGCATAATGCTGCAATGAACATGGGAGTGTGGATATATTTTCAACCTACTGATTTAAAATCCTTTGTCTGTATCCTGGAAGTGGGATTGCTACATCATATGGCAGTTCTATTTTAACTTTTTGAAGAACCTTCATCATGTTTTCCCTAGTGGCCATACTAATTTACATTCCCACCAACAGTGTGCAAATGTTCCCTTATCTCCACGTCCTTGTTAACACTTGTTACTTTTTGTCTTTTTGATAATAGTCATCCTGAAAAGCATGGATTGATATGTCATTGAGGTTTAAATTGAATATCTTAAGTTTCCTTATTTGAGGATATGAGTAGTCCCCCCAAAATATTACTACTAATGTTGCTTTTTTGCATGAACCATGACCTTGAGCTGAGCTGGACACTTGAATTCTTGAGTACTTGGACATGAGCTTAAATAGGACTGAAATATTTTTTACATACCTGAATATTAGTTCTTCTCTCTACTGGTAAGAACTTGTAGAAGAAGACATTATAAAGATCTCATAGAAAGATATTTAAGGTTTGTCTGGGAATGAAGGCACATGATGACTACAAATCTAGAAGCTGGGGAAGAGTTGTCTCTGGAAATATCCCAGGCATTACTAGGGAACCAGAAGTAGAGACGAACAGATATGTTGCAAAGAGTGACATGTGTAGGTTAGCTCTGGGTGATGAAATCGTCAGTGGTCCAGCTGAGGTGATGCATGGATGAGATTGACTGGAAGAAGAAACCTGTAGAAACAGATCAGGAAACAAAGCTCCGTTGTACACACGTCCATAGCAGGCAGCCTGGGTTTTCATCCCAGTCTTCTTCTGTTTTCAAGGGCCATTTCCATACTGCATGAGAAGCCATGAGACTGGTGGGCTCTGGACTCCTGTGCCAGAGATCACTCACCTTCCCCATTTCCCCCAAGTGTCCCAAATGCCTTGTATCATCTGATTTTCTATCTTCCTGCTAAAGCTTTTCCCATACTCCTAGTCCTTCACCCTGCGGTATCCTCCAAGTCCTTACCTGACTTCCACTATGGAGTCTCCCCATGGTTACTTGCTTGAAGGAGGCACTGTTTGAGCACAGCCTCTGAATGCTACAGACTCTCTCTTCAGATTTTCTAAATTGTCATTTTAAAGAGATAACTGTTTAAAGAGAAAAGGCCTACCTTATATGTGTCATGAAAAATTCATGTAACCGGTTACCTAAAAGTTGATATAAGAGAAATATGTAAGTAGCTTCACAAGGTTTTGAAAAATTTGGAGATAATTACTTGATAAATTTTTATTAAAGGAAAATGATATTCTGGGGCTGTATTTCTGTTACCACTGGCATTAAGGAGGCCACAGAACCTTTCTGACTCTACAGTGTTTCTTGATTCTGGAAGTAATTGCAGGACAGAGTCCTGGATAACCCTTCTGGTGACAGGATGACTCCTGTGTTTACATTCAACTGCACTGACCAAGCACAGATTCTAAGAGATGCTGACCAGGGAAGATGATTTCTCCCTTGATTCCACAAAGAAGGAGTCCACAACCTTTTTCTGCCCTGAAAGAAGAGACAATGTGCCCTGGGGAGTCTCCCTAGTGTAACCTTGACCCGTAATAACAGCAGTGTCTTTATCCCATCTTCCCACATGGGGTGTGTGTGGTCTCATCCTAAGCGCTCTGTCCCCATCAGAGGCCGGGCAGGTGATTTGGGTGAGGCATTCAGAATCAGGATGCTTGTCTGAGTTGCCTTCCTCTGGCCAGGCCAATAGTGGCTGCCCTGAGTAATGGAGCAGGGATAGGAACATTGCAAAGAACTGTAAAGAAGGCTGGATCAGGGGGACACAACTGGCAGAAGCCCCAAACCAAAGCCTTTTAGATTAGGTGTTTTTTTTTTGTTGTTGTTTTGTTTTGAGACAGAGTTTTGCTCTTGTCCCCCAGGCTGGAGTGCAATGGAGTGCAATGGTGCGAACTCAGCTCACTGCAACCTCTGCCTCCTGGGTTCAAGCGATTCGCCTACCTCAGCCTACTGAGTAATTGAGATTACAGGCATGCACCACCACACTCGGCTAATTTTTTTTATTTTTGGTAGAGACGGGTTTCACCATGTTGGCCAGGCTGGTCTCAAATTCCTGACCTCAAGTGATCTGCCTGCCTTGGCCTCCTGAAGCGCTAGAAAATTACAGGGGTGAGCCACTGCGCCTGGCCTCAGATGAGGTTTTAGCCAGTCAGAAAATGGCTCTAAGCTGACACTTTCGTTGCTAGTTGAAAAGTCTGTGTGGCCAGGTGTGGTGGCTCACACCTATAATCCCAGTGCTTTGGGAGGCCGAGGTGGGAGGATTGCTTGAGGCCAGGACATTGAAACCAACCTGGGCAACATAGCAAAACCCTATTTCTATAAAAATTTTTTTAAAAATTAGACAGAATGGCGGTGTGTGCCTGTACTCCCAGCTACTTGGGAGGCTCAGACAGGAGGATCACTTGAGCCTAAGAGGTTGAGGCTGCAGTGTGCCATGATCATGCCAGTGTACTCCAGCCTAGGTGATAGAGCCAGACCCTGTCCCTAAAAAAGAAAAGAAAAGAAAAAAGGAAAATAAAAAAAAAGGAAAAGAAAAGAAAAAAGTCTGTTTGAAGAGGCCCATGAGACTGGGGAGTCCCTAGGTTTGACGTAGACTTTGCCTCACAGCCCCAGAATAAACCTGAGGGAAGTTTCTCCCTTTGAACAGGAAGAAGGGGTGGGCCAGAGGCCTCTATTCTGAGGGACGCTGAGGTGGGGACTGAGAGGACATTGAGGGCATCTTCAGGTCCCTCTCTGCCTATTCTTTCTTGCCCCCAGTTCCGTTCTAGGTCTGAGTTTGATGTTCCTCCTTTATGCTTCCATCGCACCAGTGGAGACCCTCCTTAGACTGGGGGTTACCCTGATCCTGAGTACACCACTGCTGCTAGAAGCCCAGTAACAACGTTCCCAGTCTCAGGTGATCTAAATCTATGCACAGAATAATACAGAATATTAGAGTGGCTCAATGCTTTCATGTGCCACTATTGCAAACCTCTTGCTACCGTCTCTTCCCTGTTTCTTTTTACCTGGTAAACATATTCTGCTTTTAGATGCTCTCTATCTTCTACTTTACTAATATACAGGGAAGAGTGGGAGGAAGGGAGACAAGAAGAGAGGTGGAGATATTTATTGTCTTGGTTAGGATTACCAGTAATGTTTGTCAGGCATTGTTTTAATTGCTTTATAACCATTAGTACTATCCCTAGCCATGGGCAACGTAAGCCTGATAAGTAAGAAATTTATTTATAAAAACACATTGGTACCTCTGCCATTTTGGATTTGATGTTTAGGGCTGGCCCAATATGACCTGTAACTCTAAACATTTGCTCCATCATTAATACGATTCAGCCCCCAGGAAATTCTTCTTCACAGCTTTTGTTCTCTATCTTCAAAACTAAATGTGACTGTGTCTGAATACTGTAAAATTTGTGTATTGTGCCTTTGCTCATATCAGATGCACCTGTTTCATGGTTCAGGGAGGATTTAAGCAGCTGAAGAACTTACAAGAGAAAAGTCAACAAATACTTTCACTCGAAGAGCATGAATGCAATACCTTCTTGCATAATAAAGAATCACTTGCCAGTAGGGCTGGGTGTCAACTTTTTTTTTTCTTGTTCCTCCTATTAGCTTGATAGTTACACATAACAGTGGAGGAGGCTTTTGTAATATTAAACTAGTCATATTAATGTTAAATTTGTATATGTGAAGATCTAGATGTAAAATGCATAAAACATGATCCACATTTTGCAAAGAGAAGCCTGGGGGTGAAAAGGAGTTCAGTAATTTGTTGACTCTCATAAAGCACATTAGTGGTAGAACTGCAACTCACCATCATTTCCTTCTAAGAACTTTGCTCTTCTCACCAAAACTTAAGGCTCCTCAGAGTGTCTAATAGAAGTGAACATTTCTGTGACAATTTTCTGTTCCCTGAAATATGATCCTCACTTAATTTGCCCTACTAAAACTCCCAAGTATAAGAACAATAGGTTGTAAGATGTCTACTCTTGAATCACATTTGTCTTTTGCTTCTTAAAACCCCTAAGCCATTCAATCTTCAGCTATTCAGAAATCTTCACCTCAAATGTTCATCTAGTGCAATTTGAAGAAGAAACAGTGCCAGGCATTGGAGTGAGAATCTTCACAGAAAAATGTCTGCCCAGAGGCAGATGAGGTCCTTCAGCTCCAGTGCTGATTGGTTCCTTTCCTAGGGACTCCCCAATCCTACCACACATGGAAACATCCAGAGGTTTTTATTCTTTCCGGCAGGTACATAAGATCCATTAGGTTTGAGCTGTGTTGACTACCACTGCTTTTTCCTTGGTCTCACTTATGTCTTGGAAGATGGCTCTGCAGATCCCTGGAGGCTTTTGGGCAGCAGCTGTGACCGTGATGCTGGTGATGCTGAGCACCCCAGTGGCTGAGGCCAGAGACTTTCCCAGTAAGTGCAGGGCAGCTGCTCTCGAGAGCCACCACTGTGGGAACAGGCTCTCCTTGGGTTGGAGTATGGGGGATGGTGATCTCCATGATCTCAGAACACAGTCTTTTATCACCATTTATTCTTTTTGGGAAATAGAGCTATGTTGCATTTTTATTTCCACCTTATAATGGGTGAGGTGAGGATAATCCAACCCCAATCCCACAGGTTTAAGCCTGAAGGAGGAGAGAGGAAAGAGGAGACAAAGTGTGCATTCACTACCTGTGACAGGACAAAATGACCATGGCACTCCACGGTTATGCATTTCCCCAAAGATATGCATTTCCCCAAAGACACAGTAGGATTTTTCTGCACTGGGAAAATGTAAGGCAGCAATGGTGTCTGTAGTCTCTGTATTGGAGGTAAAGGAGTCTATACTACTGACTCGAGTGGAGAGTTTGTGGAGGCAAACTCTTAGTACTGAGGGAAGGTGACTGGATGACCACAGACAGGGAGTCTTACTTTGGGTTTCACTGATTTATGGGCAAAAGGTGACTTGAGTGGGATTCAGGGACCTGAGTTGATGGTGGACTGAATTTAGTATGATAGGAAGGAGGAAGTAAAGAAGGGAAATAATACATATTGAGAAACCACTCCATTCAGACACAGGACAGTACTTTCTATAAATCCTCTCTCACTCCTCCTAACATCCTATGTGTAGGTATCATGATTTTCCTTTTATGTAATTATACTTGTGATATGGATATTCTGTTAAGTAACCTACCCAAGCTGGTGATTGACTCAGTTTAATTGGACCCTATAGAATTCAAAAGCTTGGGCTCTTTCCATGAATAAATGTTTCCTTCTAGGACTCCGGAGGTGTAGGTCCTTTCTAACACAGAAGTGAGTGAACCTCACAGGGCACTTGGGCGGGTATAGCAGAAAGAGAGTAAATCCAGGCATGGGTTTACTTGGTCTCTTGCCCAGGGACCAAGAGAATACTTACATCAGGATGAGAACAAGCTTAATTCCTGAACCTTTCTCGTTATTCCCTTGAACTCTCAAATTTATGTGGATAACTCTGTCTCTGAGATTCCCAAGAGCTCCATGGAAAATGGGATTTCATACGAGAACGCCCTGATCTAAGAGCAGAGGTCAATGTCGAATCGGTCCGACTGCCCTCTTCACTTGGTTCACAGGCTCAGGCAGGGACTGGGCTTTCCCTCTTACCTCCCTAAAGGAAGGCAGATTCCCGAGGCCCTCAGAGAGGGCGGGCAGGGCTGGGGCAGAGATGTCTCGAGGATCCCAGGTCCGGAGCACGAGGCACGGGCCCAGCCAAGAACTCAATTTCGCTTGGACGGGTTTCGCAGCTGCTGGCCGGGTCAGGGCAGCGGCTGAAGGGTGCGGTCCGGCTGGGGGCTGGGGCTAGGGCCGTGCTGGCGCCTGACTGACCCGCCGTGATTCTCCGCAGAGGATTTCTTGGTCCAGTTTAAGGGCATGTGCTACTTCACCAACGGGACAGAGCGCGTGCGGGGTGTGGCCAGATACATCTATAACCGCGAGGAGTACGGGCGCTTCGACAGCGACGTTGGGGAGTTCCAGGCGGTGACCGAGCTGGGGCGGAGCATCGAGGACTGGAACAACTATAAGGACTTCTTGGAGCAGGAGCGGGCCGCGGTGGACAAGGTGTGCAGACACAACTACGAGGCGGAGCTACGCACGACCTTGCAGCGGCAAGGTGAGCGTCGTCGTCCTTCCGCGGTGCTCACCCTTGGCCGGGGCCCGAGTCTCTGCGCACAGAGGGGCGAGGACGGCGCGGCCTCAAGGACCGAGCCCTGGTCCATCCCAGGGTACAGGAAGGTGGCGGGGATTTGGAGGCTGGGGTAGTATCGGAGGGGCGGGGATCTAGGGCAGAGCAGGGGGATGCACAAAAGCATCCCTTAGTTCCCTGCAGGGTTGGGTTAGGCTGCCCAGTGTGTCCCCAGCCTCCCCGTCCATCGGCCTTGTCCTCTGCTCTGCATGTTCTTGCCTTGTGCCTTATGCGTTTGCCTCCTCGTGCCTTACCTTCGCTAAGCAGTTCTTTCTGCCCGAATGCCCGCCCTCTTCCCCTGCCCGCCCGCCCCACTAGCACTGCCCCACCCAGCAAGGCCCACTTGCACAGCTCGCGCCGCAGGAAGCTTCAGGTTTGGCCTGGTGGAGTTAGGGCTGCTCCACAACTGCGCGCAGGGCATCCAGCAATTACAGTTGTGAAATAAGATATTTTAACTTTTGGCTTCAAATTATTATTCATCGTAATTCTGTTTTCTTAAACGGCTCTCATTCATGGCGGAGCTCTTTGAGGTGAGAGTGTTTTAATCATTGCATGCCTAGTACCTGACTCGTGGACTGGCATGTGGTATGAGCTCAATGATCTTCTGTTAAATTAATGAATAAATGTACTCAGCTGCCCATCCACTTAGGCTCAAGGGAAAGCAGAGGATAAATAGAGCCTTAAAGATGGACTTTATCAATTATTTTCTATTATTTTGCTTGATGCTTTAAACTCTTATTGACTTGGATCTTAGTAAGGTTTGTGAATGCAGTCTAGGGAAAAAGGTGTTTGCTGAAAATAAAAACAACTCTTGAATGGTGTTATAAGGCAGTTTTAATTTCTTAGAAAAGCTGAACAAATGGCACAATGAAAAGAGCAGAAGCTTTGGAATACATAGATTGAAGCCACTAAATTATTGAATAAAAATAGTTTCAGGTTGCTTTTGGAGTAGATTTTCTCCCTCCCCCCATCACTATCCACTTCAGGGATAAACATTCTGAACGTCAATTTTACCCACTTAGTGAGCACTTATTTCTAGACAATTGCCTTAGCAAACACCATCTAAGTTATGTCATTTAATAGCACAGTTACCTGTGCATTAGAGATTAGCATTGCCACTTTATATATCGTAATATTGGTACATGATAAACACTTTAAGTAATCAACCCACAATTATGCACCAGGACCTGAAGCCTCCCCCAAATACACAGCATTCTTTTATGTTCTTCAATACTCGTCTACACAGCCTAAGGGAAGTAAAGCCTTGTTAAAGCCAATTTTGACAAGAAGCAGCAATGGGTCTATTCCTGCCTGTTTTCACTGTTAATGGGACAAAATGATACTTTCAAGGCATTGAAAATTCACTGATTAATCAATCCCTAGTCTGACCCCAGTGTTATCTATGCAGGTTCACAAAACTTCCTTGCCTTCTTCTGACCCACATCCTAATGCTGTCAAGTATTTATATTTTTGCCATTTCAAGTCTATTTCTATAAAAGTTATTCTATCATTTTTTTCTCATGAATTTGTGCCCTCTATTTTTACTTTCAGTCTTTTTAAGATGAACAAATCTTGTAAGTCCCCACATAGCTGACTGTTATTTCAGTCAGACTCCAGGAAGGAGGGCCTAAAGAAAAGTTCAAGTCCAAGCAGAAACCAAGATTCCTTCCAGACAATGGCTCAAGAGTGCCATTTAATTGGGGTGCTACCTGCTGACCTCAGCAAATCCCAGCTATATGTATATGTTTGCATTACAGGCACATTCACCCAGGCCAACCTCTGCATGGATCTCAGAATATTTCCTATGGAGAACGTACATGATAATGTCTGATTTCAGAACAAGAAAGTAATTCTCAATAGCAAGGGGATGGAGTAGGGTAGGCAGCTAGTAATTACACTATCTTGAGGGTTAAAAGGAAATTAAGAAAAAGCAGGAAAATGAGAGAACATATTACCAAGTAAATAAAGCATACATTAAATATTTACTATAATTTTACACTAAAGAAATAAAGGAAATGCAGTAAAATGGCCAGAGAGGCAAAGGTTAAGATGTATAAAATATGCAGGGAAAGGTGTGTCATTTTTGACCATGAGCACCGCTCTGAGAAGATAAAGGAATTGAGTTATGGGCAAACATGATGTTTGATCAGTGTTCGTTTTTTTCAAGGCCTGCCTACTTTTCCTTCAAATATTACAAACTTTTGAAATAACATTCAATTTTTTGGTCTCTGTTACTAGATTGCAAGTTCTATAAAGGCAGGAACCAGGGTTTGTTGTTTATTTTTGGATTCTCAGTGATTGTCAAATTTATATTTGTTGAAGGAACCTTAATCCAAGACTTGGACTCCAGGTATCTTTCCATTCTGGTTCCAAGGAGGGACCTTCCTCACAGCAGGCGTGCTGTGTGGTCTCACATCTCACTCCTATATCTTTCCCTGTCTGTTACTGCCCTCAGTGGAGCCCACAGTGACCATCTCCCCATCCAGGACAGAGGCCCTCAACCACCACAACCTGCTGGTCTGCTCAGTGACAGATTTCTATCCAGCCCAGATCAAAGTCCAGTGGTTTCGGAATGACCAGGAGGAGACAGCCGGTGTTGTGTCCACCTCCCTCATTAGGAATGGTGACTGGACCTTCCAGATTCTGGTGATGCTGGAAATAACTCCCCAGCGTGGAGACATCTACACCTGCCAAGTGGAGCACCCCAGCCTCCAGAGCCCCATCACCGTGGAGTGGCGTAAGGGGAAACTGGTTTCCTTTTACTGTGGGCCCCACAAGACAAAGGGAAGAGCTCCCGCTGATCCTTCCCATCCCATCTCTTGTCCCTGACATCACTACTGAGCTGGGAATCACAGGAGACTAGAGCACCTGTTGCCCCATGGCAAGCACATCAGATGAATCCTGATCTCTTTGTCTTTCCAGATACCAGGGAGATCACTTTCCACATTTGTGTTAGTCCATTCTTGTACTGCTACAAAGAAATCTCTGAGACTGAGTAATTTATAAAGAAAAGAGGTTTAATTGGCTCTTCTCACTCCACTATAAAGAAATACCTGAGAATGGGTAATTTATAAAGAGAAGAGGTTTAATTGGCTTATGATTCTGAGGCTGTAGGGGAAGCATAGTGGCTTCTGCTTATGGGGAGACATATGGAAGCTCCTAATCATGGCAGAAGGAAAAGAGGGAGTGAGGTGTCTCACAGGGCAGGGGCAGGAGCATGAGAGAGAGGGGGTTGGTGCTACGCAGTTTTACATAACCAGATCTCATGAGAACTCACTATTGTAATGACAGTACTAAGGGAGATGGTGACAAGAATCTGGTCTAATGATCCAGTCACCTCCCACCAGGCTCTACCTCCAACATTGTTAATTACAATTGAACATGAAATTTGGGTGGGGCCACAGAATCAAACCATATCAACACTACTAAAGCCCCAGAACCAGCTCTGACAGCTATGAGAGACTGACTTAGGGCTGGTGACTGGGGCCTTAGGGTTTAAGGTTATGGATGAAGTCCTGAGGGGCAGGGGTGTGCTTCCTCCTCTCCCTCACCCACCTATTGTGTCCAAAGACCTACTGGCTGGTCTTTCTCTTCCCTAGGGTGGTCAGACTGGAGAACTAGTGTCCCCTGACATCTCCACCTCCTGTACCAAGGACATTATGGGGTGTGGGGACAAACACTCACACTCAGGCTCTGCTCCTTAGGGGCTCAGTCTGAATCTGCCCAGAGCAAGATGCTGGGTGGTGTTGGAGGCTTCGTGCTGGGGCTGATCTTCCTCGGGCTGGGCCTTATCATCCGTCACAGGGGTCAGAAAGGTGAGGAACCCAAGGGGGAAATGGGGGAAGATGGGCTGTGACCCAGACCCTCTATTCAGAGAGGTTCTGTCTCTAGATGTAGCTCTTTCCTCCTTACCCTGAGAGGAAGTGCGAGGAGACAGGACAAGATTGGAGGAGGCATTGGAATCTGATTTTACTGGGTGAATGGTAGCGCTGCCAGAGCTGACTGATAGAGCTTATTCCAGGGCGTCCTTACCGTTCATCATCGTCTCACTGGCTCCTTTCTAAAAGCTTCCTCCATTAAGAGGGTCAGAGCCTCGGCCTCCTTGTCTTCTAGTGACAATTTCCTTTGTTTTGGGGGATTTTAACTTAGGGTGCTTAAGGACTTAAAGAACACGGGAGGGAAGAGGATATAACCCCAATTAAACTACATGTGTCATTTTCCTTTGGGGTAAGATAGTGGTTGTTTGTTTAACAAGACCTTTCTCTGTATAACTTCCTTTTGTAGGACCTCGAGGGCCTCCACCTGCAGGTAATATTTCAGCCATGATCCAGTCAGGGGAGAGGGCACAGGCATAAGAGGGAAGAGCCATGGTGAAACCGCATCTCTACTAAAAATACAAAAATTAGCTGGACGTGGTGGTGTGCATCTGTAATCCCGGCTACTTGGGAGGTTGAGGCAAGAGAATCACTTGAACCCAGGAGGCAGAGGTTGCAGTGAGCCAAGATGGCGCCACTGCACTCCAGTCTGGGCGATAGAGCTAGAGTCTGTCTCAAAAAAAAAAAAAAGAAGAGCATGAGCGGAGTGTTCCAGGGCACAGTGGTCTCTGTTCATGGCCTGTTTGCTGCTATGAGGGTTAAGACTTAGGGGAGAAGTTTGCCAGTTTCTACGAATCTCCAGAGATTGTTTCCTAGAACCAGGCCTTAACTTTGGTGGCATCTTTTTGTGAAATGTGGGGACAGAGCCACATCTTGAATGTGAGATAGTAGGGTGATGCCCACTTTGTGCCACATTTTGTTAGCTACTGCCTGTAGGCATTTTCAGTGACTAAAAGAGGCTGCTAGTGGTGGAGATGAAGTGTCACCCAATTTACTAAAAAAATCAAACTCTTCATATTACCCAGAAGGGTAACTGCTGTTCCCCCACCTCCACATATCTGCATCAAGCTGAAGTTCTGTGTCCTCATGAGCTGATTTTACCTTTACACAGATATTGGGGAACGTGATGATGATATGCCCTGGACCTCAGCATCCTCTGTTTGATGCTGCAGAGGAAACTCAGGACTGGGGGAGAGGGTGTGTCCCTCAGGGTACCCTGTGCTGATCATGCCTCATCTCTCTTCTCCAGGACTCCTGCACTGACTCCTGAGGACTTTTGTCTGGGATTGGTCATCACTCTTCTGTAATGCCCACCTGCCCCTGCCCAGAATTCCTAGCTGCCTGTGTCATCCTGTCCCACTGAGGTCAGAGTCCTACAGTGGCTCATGCAGCCACAGGTCACCTTCTGTGATCCCCATCCCAAGGCACTGGCGGTGACTCTGCTTCCTGCACTGACCCAGAGCCTCTGCCTGTGCACTGCAAGCTGTGTCTACTCAGGCCCCAAGGGGCATCTCTGTTTCCATTCTCCCCCCACAGACCTGTCAAGAGAAGCATGACAAACAAAATCATTTACCTAACTTTAGTGCTTTTTCCCATAATTAAACCTGATTCTGAGTTATCTGTGTTCGGAACTTCCTTAACTAAGCAGAGGTAGGAAACCACTGCCAAGTGAAGGAACATACCTTGAGGTGACCCAGCCAAACCGTGGCTAGAAAGAGGGTTGTACTTTGAAAAGACACTGAAAGCATCTTGGGGTGCAAAGTAAGGGTAGGCAGAGGAGGTAGAAAATCAATTCAGTCATCACATCATTCATGGTTCTTTAATATTGATGTTCAGTGCAATGGCCTTAGGACATCCCAGCCTCTCTTCCGGTTTGGCGAGTGTTGTCTAAGTAAGCATGGTGGAATTGTTTGGGGACAATTATAGTGACTGATGTTTCAAATATATTCTGGCTGGCAAGTCACATCAATCAAGGCTAATTTTTATTTTTAAGAAAGCATAACCAGGAATGAAAGTACTATTTTTGGTTCCAAATGATAGACACCCAACCCAAAGATATTTGATTCATGTTACAAGGAATGTTGGTTTCAGAAGTGACTAGTTCCAGATATTCCATGAGATCTTCATCTCTCTCTTCTCTTTCTGTTATAGTTCCATCTGTGCATCCTCCTCTCCTCTCCGTGTGTCTCTTTGTCCCTGTGTAGTTCTTTCTGTGTGTCTCTCTCCAGTTTTGTCTTTGTTCCCTTCTTGTGTCTCTTTCACTGCATTGTTGCCTTTCTCTATTTTTGTAATCCTTTGGCACTATTTATCTGCATTTCTTTCTCTTTTTCTTTTTGCATCTCTTTATTTTCTGCATCTTTCTTATTACCTCACACCTTATCTCATGTCTCTCTTCGTTTGAGTGTGTGTGCGTGCGTGTGTGTGTGTCTGTCTTTGTTGTATATGTTTCTGAAGTGTCTACCAGAGTTTTAATAATTTGGGGAAAGATTCTGATTGTCCAAGCCTGGGTAACATGCACACCTCCCAAACACACCATCCTGTGCACGGGATGCTGCCAGCCAGCATGCTCATCCCTCTTATTAGGAAGGAGGACTGGGTTTTCCAGATCCTTCTGATGCTGGAAATGACTTCCAGTGTGCAGATGTCTACACCAGCCATGTGGAACACCTCAGCCTCCAGAGCCTCCTCACAGTAGAGTGGTGTAGGGGAAGTTTGTTTCTTGTGGAGCACACAGGTCAAACGGCAGAGCTTCCTCTGGTTCTAGGGTCCCTCAGTGGGGGTACCTGTTCACAGCCATCTCATTCCTTGTCTGAGCTCCCTTTGTCATTGACATCGTAACCTGTTCATTCCTGATGACACCCTCTTCCCGGTTATGAGGGACGTCACTACACACTGTGACCCCTTTGATGTGGGCTCAGCCCTGAAGATGGTCTACATGTCAGTCTCTGGGTTTGTCATTAAGGCAGACAAGCTTTTCCAACCCTCAGCCCGCGGGCTGCATGCAGCCTATGACCGTATTTAATGCAGTCCAACACAGATTCTAGAACATTCAGTTCAACATTGTCACACTGAACACATCCTGGTTATGAGAGGATCAAAGTCTTTTTCCCTTTCTTCCACTGACAGTTTCATAGAAACAATTATTTTTTGCACCCAGATTTCATTGGGTAGTATAATCTTTAATTGATAATTAAAGTAACAAGTACATTTTTTATAAATAAGTTTGCTAACAAGAAGAATTGAGTCTTAGTCGGCATATAACTTGGAGGAAAGTATGTGGGTGTTCTAGAGAACAACCTGCCAGTTGTTAGCATTTGTCCTTACCTTAGGAAATATCAGCATATCTTTCAGAGACAATGTTGCTCGTCAATATGCCATAAGGTTCTTTACATCTCCCAGTCTTTTCTGCTGTTAGGTTGGGATCATTTGACTAATACTAGCCAATGGAACTTGCAAGTAGATGCACGATGAGACGTTGGAAACTCCATATAACCTGAGTCACTGGAGAAACTGTGGAATTAAGTCTCTTTATTAAGTGACATCACTAAGATTTGTTTTTTACTGTGGGCTAAGATCTTACTGCACATTAACTTTACCCTTCTCAATAATCATGGAATGTTTAACTTCAGAGGAGAGTTCATAAGTTAATAGGGTGAATCAATTGAGTTAATAGAAATTGAGATGATTGAGATGATATTTTTAAACAAAAAAGTTTTTGAAAATAAAGAACAGAAAACTTTATTTGAACAAGAAAAAGTTAAGAATGTTACATTTCAAAAAATTTAAATTATTTTTAATTTACAAATAATTGAGTACTTATAAGGTACAATTGACATTTCGATATATGTATACACTATGAAATGATTAAATCAAGCTAATTAACATATCCATCACTTCACATACTTATTTTTTTATGTGGTATGAATATTTAAAATCTGTCTTAGCAATTTTCAAATATACAATACAGCTGGCCCTGTATTTGTGGGTTTTGCATCCTCTGATTCAGTCAACCATGGATTGAAAATATTTGGAAAAAATGATAAAATACAACAATACAACATAAAAATAATACAGCTTAAAAGAATACAGTATAACAACTATTTACATAGCATTTACATTGCATTAAGTATTATAAGTAATCTAAAGATGATTTAAAGTATATGGGAAAACATACTTAGGTGATGTACAAAAACTAAGCCATTTTTAATAAGAGACTTGAGCATTCTTATATTTTGGTATCCAGGAAGGGTCCTAGAACCAATCCCTCATGGATGCCAAGGGACAACTGTATGATATTATTAACTAGTCACCATGCTGCACAATTGATCTTCAGTACTTATTCCTCCTCTCTAACTGAAACTTGTACCTTTTGACCAACATCTCATTCCTTTTTCTCCCTCTCCCCACACCCCACCCCCTCCATGACTTTGACTTTTTAAGATTCTGCATGTAAGTTAGGTCATGTCGTATTTGTCTTTCTGTGCCTGGCTTATTTCACTTAGCATACTGTCCAATGGGTTCGTCCATGCTATAAATGACAAGATTTCCTTCTTTTATACGGCTGAATAGTATTTCATTGTGTATATGCACCACATTTTTTTTATCCATTCATCTGCTGATGGATAGTTAGGTTGATTCCATCTCTTGGCCATTGTGAATAGTGCTGCAATAAACACGGGAGTGCAGATATCTCTTTGATACAGATTTCATTTCCTTTGCATATGTACCCAGAAGTGGAACTGCTGGATCATGTGGTAGTTTTATTTTTAATTTTTAAATAGATGCTGAATTTTATCTGTTTGTTTTCTTCCACATGAATGTATATGTACTCCCAGGAACTAGAACAGTGTTTCTGCCGTCAGTGCTGTTCCACTGTACCTAAACTCCTCCCTTTGAG
Source organism: Homo sapiens (assembly GCF_000001405.40). Classification (NCBI taxonomy): domain Eukaryota; kingdom Metazoa; phylum Chordata; class Mammalia; order Primates; family Hominidae; genus Homo; species Homo sapiens. The sequence goes on along the minus strand of NT_167247.2, from coordinate 4,052,193 downwards.
ACTGAACGATTTATTCTGTCATTGCTGGGAATGTTGCTGGCTGACTGCCCTCAGCTGTCAGTCATGCCCCGGAATTGCCTTTGGTGATGAAAGCTGCCTCATCGGATTTTGATCCACTTCCCAGGAGGAACTCACCTATAATGATTGGTCAGTATAGGAGTATAAAAGCCTGCTCTAATTTGGGCCAACTCTGAGGGGCTCTTGCAGCTTCTGAATAGCTTAGGCCGAAGAATAACAGTCCATTTTTTTTGTAACTGAAATAATAGTCCAATTTCTAAAACCTTGCTCTAATTCATGAGTCATTTTACATACTTTTTCCAGTTGTGATTGTAATTTAAATATATTGATCTTTGTGACTTCTGTAAGTATGGGCAATGCCTCTTCCCCTCCTTCTTGGAAGATGAAGTTATTGGCATTGTTACCCTCCCTTTCCCCTCTCCTTTACGCTTCCAGTTGCCAAAATTAAGTATCTACATCTTTTTTTTTCCCCCAATATTGTCAAAGCTGAAAATATTGACATTCTGCTGTAGCAATAAGATTCCTTGGGCTTTGCTCACAGATTAATTCTAAATTTGAAAAAAAAAGTTTATCACTTTCTAAATATCACTTATGTAGTCAGGTATTCTTTGCTTGCCAAGAAACTGCTGTAGTAGGATCCCTTTTCAGTGAGATCCTGGGTTAAACCCAGTTTCCTGGATTCCTTACCTTCCTATATCCTGATTAACAATCTCAATTGGTCATATCCTTAGTCAATTTCTAGTAAAACTCTGCGTGGTAGGTAAATTTTATGTCCTTTCACATTCACAGGTATTTTTATTCTTTCTCCATGCCTGATTGTGACTTTGAAAAGATCTACATTTATTAATAAAAAATAATTTTCCTTTAGAACTTCAAGGACTTTCTCATTATCTTAATAATAGAAGTATTTTTTTTGTTGTCAGTTTGTTTCATTTTGGTTTCCGCCACTGGAATATTTTATGACTTTTCTATAACACCTGAAGTTCTGAAATTTTGAAAATGAGATATTTAGAAGTGAGTCTGTTAATTTTGCTAAATACCTGACAAGACTATTCCATGGAAGAATTAAATCCTTTATATCTGGAAAATTTTCCCTTATTATTTGTTCTGATCATTTTCTCCCTTCATCTTCCCTGTTGGTCTCTCTAGCTTTGTCACTTGATGTTTGACTTCCTTGGTCTGTTCTCCATCTTATTTTTTCTACCATATATTATATTTTTTTTTTTGCCTTTTAAATTACTGTGAGATTTTCTTGATTTAATTTTCCAATCTTTCTATTAAATTTTCCAATTGTTTTTAGCATTCTATTATTACTTTTACAGATCAAGAATTCTAATTAGAATGACTTTAAACTTGTTTGCTGTTACATGAACTTTCTCTATTAAATCTGTGATAATTTTCATGTTATTTTATTCTCATCTTCTCTTTCATATTGTAAGAGTTTCTCAAACATTTGCTCTGGCCTCTTCAACCTTGTCCTTTACCTACTGTATACCACCTTATTTCATCTGAAGATACATTTCTTCAAGCCACTTCTAAACTGCCCCAAATCATACCTGGTCCCTGTGCAACACTCTCTCATTTTACCTCATTCTTTTTCTTTATAAATGTTTCAGACCTTGTAACTATGTTTGTGGAATTATGTAATATATGTATTTTCCTCCCACTGGAGTGTAAGTTCTATGAAGATAATGAATGTAATTGTTTTCACATTATTTTAATAACATTCAACAAACTATGAGTACTTATTGTAGCACTGGGACTCAATGACCATTTTTGCATTTTTGATGAATTAGTGAATATATAAACAAGTCTGGGGGCTTAGTCCAGCCAATAATAAAGCAAGCATTACTTTGCTTTCCTTTGTTATTATTAGTTCCTGCATACACATTCTTTACAGTTGCATTCCTGAGAGGTTCTTACAGTCTTGGGCAGGCCTTGGACAGGGTTTCCTAAATGTGATAAAAATGAGAAAAACTGAAAAACTAACATAACTTCAAACAGAATGCTTGTCTGCCTATGTTTATGGGACTTTCCTGAATACATTTAAAAAAAAAAACCTTTGTATTACAGAAAATTTCAACTGTGTGCAATAGTACAGAGAAGAATTCCATGTATCAACAGCCTTGCTTTAACAATAATCAATTCATGAGCAATTTTGTAAACCCACCCAGTTATCATACAGGCACATAATGGATTATTTTGAAGATATTTTTAGGTATCATATTTCATTTATACATTTTTATTATGAAAATCTAAAATATAATGGCTTTTTAGAAACATAACAGCAATGCCACTAACACATTTAAAACGAGATAAATAATTCCTTAATACACTCAGTGTCAATTTTTCTGATTGCCTCATATAAATTTTTTAACAGATGTTTTGTTTGAATATGAATCTAGACAAAGCTCAGCATTTGGTTACTATATTTCTTCAGTCTTTTTCAAGTGTATAGCTTTTCTTTTCTCTATTTTTAACTTTTTTTGCAAATTGTTTGCTGGAGAAATCTTTTTATTTAATCTAGTAGAACTTCTCATATTCTGAATTTTGTTGCTTACATCCTTGTGGTGTCATTCATCATGGGATTTTGTCTTGGACTCCAGAAAATAACAATAACACAAATTTGTTAATTTCTATAAACTGCTTACTATGGGCCAGTCTGTGTGTGAAGTGCTTTATTTGTAATGTTTAATTCTTCATATCTCTAGTTTGTATGTGGTAAGTACAAACCTGAAATATTTTACGTGATTTTTACGTTTTGTAATTTTTATTTATTCATTCATTCATTTATTTATTTATTTTTAGAGACGGGGTCTCGCTGTGTTGCCCAGGCTGGAGCGAGTGCAGTGGTGCAGTCAGTCCTAGCTCACTGCAGCCTTGAACTCCTGGGCTCAAGCAGCAATCCTCCTGCCTCAGCCTCCCTACTAGCTGGGACTACAGACTGGTCTCCATCTCCTGGGCTTTAAGGGACCCTCACCTTGTGCTGAGATTACAGGCATGAACCATTGTGACTGGAAATTTTGTAAAATTTGAACAATGTGATATTACCTATTAATGAAGTCATACTTTATGTATGTAATCTGAAATAATTCAGATAACAATTTTTAATAATCATTTAATTTAAAATCATGCAGCCTGATTTATAACTGTTTATAATAATAATATAATAATATAATAATGATGATTTCACTTTGAACTTTTAGCTGATAAAAAGATATATTTGCTCTATTTTATAAAACTAATTTTAACTATGCTATTTTAACATTATATAAATACTTTTTGAATACATTCTTTCAGTAAAATCCAACTACCATTATATTTGCTTTCCTCAGTATTTCTTGGGGAAGGATTCTAAATAGGGGAGCATTTGTGTATTTCTGTATGACTCTGGTTATAATGCCATTCAATGTAAGCCTTACACACACACACGCACACACACACACACACACAAATGCACACACCTCCAGAATGCTGGGTTCTTGGCTCATGAATCATTGAAATTTATATAAAATTTATTTTAAATCCTATTGCAGAAAAGTTCTTAGCACATTCATGCATTTTCATGTGACCATTTTTATACTACAGTTTTAATTTTATATATTTGGGATCATTATTGTTGACCTTTTCTTTTCTTTTTTTTTAATAGAGTTTATTTTAGAGAAGTTTTAGGTTCCCAGAAAAATTGTAGAGTACAGATAGATGTATCCCATATGCTCTCTGTTCCCACACATGCATAGCCTCCCCCACTAGTAACATCCTCCACGACAGAGGTACATTTGCTACAACTTATGAACTTACACTGACACATCATTATCACCCAAAGTCCATAGTTTATATTAAGGTTCATTCTTGGTGTTGTACATTCTATGGATTTGGGCAAGCGCATAATGATATTTATTCACCATTGTGGTATCAAATAGAGTAGTTTCATTGCCCTAAAAATCCTCTGTGTTCTGTGATGGACGTTTTCATGATCACCACTGGTTCAGATTCCCTGCACTTACTAATTCCCAGTCTGCATTTATAATTATTTTCTCCCGGAGTCTCCCCACCTCCTCCCCAAAGTAAATATGGATAAACTGCTGTTGCATATAATTCACCTTGACTTAAAATTTATGGGCCATAAGGAGGGAATATACCCCTTAGAGAGTTAAAAACCGAAGTCAAATATTACAACTTCTTGTCCTAAGAGTTCTCTTATCAACCCAATCTCAGCCTCTCAAGAAAGAAAAAAATCCTCCAGTTAACATATGAAAAGAAACTCACTTTTACGTCTACGCTTGAATCTCCTAAATCACTAAAGGGCTAAGGAAAACAAATGTACTTTTCATATAATATGATCCATTCTTTTTAATAAATCCATTATAAACATAACTGCAGTGTTTTCTTATATATTTATATACTACGTGTAAGGCACTGTCTATATACCAAGATTATTCAAATTCTGTCAATAACTCTGCAAGGAAAATATTATCACTCCCACATTGTGGATGAGAAAAATAAGGTTCAGAAATGTCAATCAGATACTTTACCCAGTAAAGTTTAAAATATTAGCTTCAAAATACTGAGTCAAGTATTTGGATTTAGGTTTCTTTGTACAAAACTATGCTGTATCAATTATTATGTTAATGTTTTGTCTCTTTTTTTTCTCCTATTACATTTTAAACTCACTGATGCAGATAGCATGGACAGAAATATCCTGGCAGATTTCATAGCTGTTTAGAGCCCTCAGGTCTCTGTGGACCCATTTCCTCTGAGAGATTTTCTATTAGGAGACCACGAATCCAGTGTAGGACACAACACCCACTACTGCTGCTACATTGTCTCAACTGTCTTGTTCTTCCTAGGATTTCTCTCTCATAGGCTCATGCTTTCCTTAGCCAGGAAGGGGGAGGAGCAGGGGGCTGGGGCCCCTAAATGGGTCTGTAGCTTCTACTTCTATCTGTTTTCCATTGTCACTAACCCTAAGTAAGGAACAAGCATTTGTTCCTTTTCAGATACCCACTTATATTATTGCCTTATTTTAATATTTTTCTTTTTTAAAAAATTTATTTATATGTATTTATTTATTTTTGAGATGGAGTTTCATTCTGTTGCCCAGGCTGGAGTGCAGTGGCACAATCTTATTGCAACCTCCACCTCCCAGGTTCAAGCGATTCTCCTGCTTCAGCCTCCTGAGTAGCTGGGATTACAGGTGCCCACCACCATGCCCAGCTAATTTTTGTATTTTTAGTAGAGAGAGGGTGTAACCACGTTGGCCAGGCTGGTCTCCAAGTCCTGACCACAAGTGATCTGCCCACTTTGGCCTCCCAAAGTGTTGGGATTATAGGTGTGAGCCACCGTGCCTGGCCTTATTTCAATGTTTTTCTAACTGGCTTCCATTTCTTTTCCTGCCTAGAGAATTTTTATCTCCTCAAGGTGAGAAGGGGAGAGGAAAGCTTCTACTGTTGTCATTCTTCACAAATTTAAAGTTTTGAGAATGCAGTTTGACTTTTGGTAACAAAATTTTTTACTTTTGATAACTTTTGAGATTCAAAATTCTTGTATCCTATTTCTCTGTCATTCCTTTTAAGAGCCATATTGAAATTAGTACAGACTTTTTTTTTTTTTTTTTGTATTTCTGCTATAACCATTCTGAGCCAAGGGCAGAGGGTTCGTTGGTACCTGAATTGAGGGGTGGGTGGCAGTGGCCAAGGGTAGGAACAAAAGGAAGAAAGAAATATTAACACCAGTTAAGAAATCAACAAATTATCAGGATACACTGTACTTGGTTGCTCCTGTGTTACTGGACATGAAATATGATCTGGGGAATGACATGAAATTGGCCTAAAACATAAGAGTCACCCATTCTAAGTTATGCTCTCAGTCAGCCCTGAGATGAAAGATGGGAAAAATTCAATAGAGGCATCAAAAGGGAATTTATTGCTTCCATGGAGATTTTAGATAAAGGTCATTGAGGAATTAGGTAGCTGAGTGGCTTACTCAGGCATCCCTTAGTAGGTAACATTTGAGAAAATAAAAAAATTCAGGAAAGGAGGTCAGGGAAAGAATTGAAAGGCATTTGTGAGCTCTGAGGGAATATAGCACCTTAAGTCCCAGAGAAGAGGTGAGAGAAGAAACATTTGGAGGAGAAAAGGGATATGATAAATCAGGCCAGAGAATAGTGCTAGGTCATTTAGCAAGTCCATTCTTCTTCTCCTGTAGATGGTGATGCACCTGCAACAGGACAGACATGAGATCGATGGGTCTGAGGGGCCTCCTGTGTGATCATCATGCCACTTCCCAATTCGCCTACAACTTTCAACCACATTCATGTCCACAACCCCCTCCCACTTTCCTCCCTCTCATACTGAGGTTTCAGCTCCAACAAATCTCAATCTTACCTTCCTTTCAGGATGAGATTCATAAGAGCCCTTGGTGTCTGGAAGCATCAACTGAACGCAGGCCTTGGATGATGAAGACAGTGCCCACCACAATGCCCATGAGGCCCACAGACAACCCCAGGGCGCAGACCAAAGTCTCTGTGAGCTCTGACATAGGGGCTGGAATCTCAGGCTCTGTGAAAGTGGAGCTGTTGAGGTCAGAATGTGCAGTGTGCTCATGTGCATGTGTGTGGGATGGGATGGGGTGGAGGGCTGGCTCTGCAAGACTCAAGGCCCCAGGCTTAGGGAGAAGAGTGAAGTCTGTTATTAGAAACCCATGAAGTGGTGGAACTCATCCTTACCCCAGTGTTTCAGAAGAGGCTCGTCCAGGCCCCAGTGCTCCACCTTGCAGTCATAAATCTCATCAGCAGAAGGGAGGAAGGTGAGGTAACTGATCTTGAAGAAGGAATGATCACTCTTGGAGAGGAAGCTGGTCTCAGAAACACCTTCTGTGACTGAGTGCCCATTGCTCAGCCAGGTGATGTTGACCACAGGAGGAAAGATGTTGTCCACAAGACAGATGAGGGTGTTGGGCTGACCCAGCGTCACAGGAAACTTGGAAAACACTGTGACCTCAGGAACCTCTGTGGTGAGGAAACAGCACTGATGTGAAGTGTGAATAGCTCTGCCATGAGCTTCTGCATTACATCCTGGAAGAGCCCTCTTACCAGCATTTCACCACCTGATAGTCAAAGAGGTCTTATTTACCTTCTGCTTGGGAGCAACGACACATTGCCTCTGCTTTATTCCTGTGCCCTTCTCTCTGTGGGCATGTTTAATAAAGTAGGAATTAATACATAATGGAAAGACCCTTGTATTACATGGGAATATGTGATTTTAGAGATGGGAGATGATAAAATTTCAGCAATTACCATGAGAAGATCTGGAAATCTCTTGAGAAGAAGGGAGTAAAACTTGGTATGAAAGATTAGTTTCAGTAAAGAGAGGCGGAATGGTGGACACATACCATTGGTGGCAGCGGTAGAGTTGGACTGTCTCATCATGAATTCCAAGGTGTGTTTTCCCACAGCCATATTTCTCAGTGCACTCTGCGGGTCAAAACTTATAAATTTGCTAAACATAGGCAACTGCCAGACAGTCTCTTTCGTCTCCAGGTCCACGTAGAACTCCTCGTCTCCATCAAATTCATGGGTGTACTGGCCAGAGGGACCGTGAGACTGGTAGAAGTTCACACCATAGGAGGCAACATGGTCAGCTGACGAGTGAAGGTGACAAGCAGGAGGGTGGAACACAGGGAGAAAGAACCTTAATACAGAAAGTGATTGAAGAAACTCACTTTCAAATATTATGGGCTTCATCTTTGGCACAGTCCTTGAACAATCTTCCTAACACCTGCTTCCTCCTTGCCTAACGTTGGTAGTCATCAGGTTAGAACTGATTCTGTCTTTCTCACTATAACATATGCTCCACAAAGGCAGAACGTCACACGTCTGTTATTTCCTGAGTGCCTACTTAGTGCCTGGCACATCATAAGCTTATGATGAATATTGCAATAAACAAAGGAAGGAATGAATGAGTTATCATAGGATTTAGTTTTCTTACTCAGAGATTCAGTTTATTTCCCTCTGCTTCCTAAGTTTTCTCTCTCAGTTAATAACAAGTTGATTATACTTCGTTTCCTGTCAGGACTAGATCAGAACAGGACACTTTCTACACAGAGTTTCCTTTATTCTTTTTTTTTTAAACCAAAGAAAAGCATGTAGGAACGTATTAACTTAAAAGAATTTCTTCTAACAATTATAGGGTACGAGAAAGACTATTACAAGAATAGCAACATTATACATTTATAACAAATAAACAATTCTTCTAAGGTCTCTGTTTTGTTAATAGTAGTGGTCCTTAGAGGAGAGCACCTGATTTCTTCTGAAATGAAAAGTGGAAGCTCGACTGGTTTTTTAATTTCTGTCATTGCCCCCACTTTTTTTTTTTTCCTCTGAAGGAGGTTACTAAATGTCTATAGTGTTCTGATTCAACAATTACATTCACTCGAGGACTCAGGTAAATTAAACCCTTTTTCCTCTAATGGGCAGTGAGCTTATCCGAGGATGCAAGGGCAGAGCAGCAGCCATGAAGTATAGCCAAATGAGCCGAACTGGACATTTTTGTTAAGACATGTGTGAGCCCTTTACCATTTTATCTTTCCTTCCTTCCTTCCTCATTTACTGAGCATCCAAAAGTGTCAGACAGAGCAGGGGTTGCTTAAAACAGCATCAAGGAATGAACTGAATAGTGGGAGAATCAGGTCGGTAAGGGAGCAAATACAATGTACTTTGGGGAGTTCTGTGAGGAGGATATCGACAGCCTTACAGTCCGACATTCTTCACAACTATCTGCCAATCAAACCAAACTACACTTCCTTTCATGTCTTTGCAAGGGTCTGTTTTTTCTCCCTGAAAGAAGTTATCTTTTAGGATTTCCTGGAGAAATCCTAAAATTCATCCTTGAGGTTTCTACTTAGTTAACAACTTTGCAGCTAAGTGCTCTCAACATGTTTTTGACCGCGTTGTGACCTCCAACGCCTCAATGGAATCTCAATGTCTGGCTCTCCAAGTTTGTCTGTTCCTCCTCCAGCTCACCTTCTTCCCTACCCAGCATGACTGCCCTGGTTGGTTACTTAACAGGCCACCAACAAAGACTCCTTATCCTTACAATAAACTTTGACTCCTTGTTCAAACATGAATATATGTGGAATACATGCAATCCTTCTTTTCATCTGGTACTTGTCCTGGGTGCTGAGTGTTGCTGGAGGACATCACTCTACTGGCCCAGCTGGAACCAAGTCATTTTTATAGTTTCAGCCTCTGCTGGGCCACTGTCCTGCTCAGCAGGGCCTTCTGCTTTCCTGTGCCCCATACTGTTTCCATCACTGGTTTGTGCACCCTCTGCAAGGCAGACAGCATGATTTTTTATCTTTGAATTCCCAAAAGTTAGCTCATTGTGTGCTCAAACATGTGTATTGAATGACAATTGCAATTTTTGACAATTACATAGATTTTGGGGAAGACTGACAGGCACCCAGGTAGCAGAACCACGCAAAGCCCAGGATCAGGGATGCCCAGGGCTGAATTCTGACTTGTGAGCCCCGAGCACTGTTGCTTTTGTGGGCGCCTTCCTCCATAAAAATACGGAAAATTACAGCTTCTGATTGTATTGGTATAAAGACAAATACAATCCAGGCTACATTAAAAGTTAAGGCCGGACGCGGTGGATCACGCCTGTACAAATCCCAGCACTTTGGGAGGTTGAGACGGGCGGATCATGAGGTCAGGAGATCGAGACCATTCTGGCTCACACGGTGAAACCCCGTCCCTACTAAAAATACAAAAAATTAGCCGTGCGCGGTGGCGGGCGCCTGTAGTCCCAGCTACTCGGGAGGCTGAGGCAGGAGAATGGCGTGAACCCGGGAGGCGGAGCTTGCAGTGAGCCGAGATCGCGCCACTGCACTACAGCCTGGGCGACAGAGCGAGACTCCGTCAAAAAAAAAAAAAAGTTAAAACATTTTCATAGACTGTAAAACTTCATTTTTCTTCTAATTTTAAAACGAGTTAAAACGTTCTCTTGTAGCTTTACAGTTTGGAGAGTCTCCTTCACTGCCCACACTGTTCCTAATGGATAAGTCGAGCCTGACCGGGGCACTCTGGTGTGAGGTTGAAGAAAGGAGATTTGAAAAAAAAAAGCCAAGTGCTCTGGAGAAGCAGGTGAAACTTCCACTGCCAAACAAAATCAGAATGGGAGCAGCTATGGTTAATAAGGTTGTGGAAGTTTCGAGTAGCTTCCAGTTCACTTCCCCTTTTAACTATTTGACTTTCCAACTTTTGTTTTACAAACCCACTGCCCATGTCTGTAAAGGAGCAGGGAGTCAGAGATGGATCCTGAAAGGGAAGAGGGAGAAAGGGATGCATGAAGAGAGGTGGAAAGAGATGGACGACAAAGGCAGAGGGGACTAAGGGACCAAATAATCTGTGCCTGCCCATTTTTCTCTTTATAAGACTTCATTAGATAAGGTGAAGAACAAGTAATTTGGGTTGACAATTTGAGAATAAAATAATTTAATTTACCAAGCATTTTATCATAAAGTTCTCAGTTTTAAAATATATTCCTTACTTTGCTAAAGAAAAAATACGAAGTTATACCTGTAATAGGAATAAGTTAAAAAAAGTTGACATTCATGTTTTTACTATTCATAAAGCATATCTACATGCCCATTTTATTTGATCATAAGCGAGGTGACATATATGAGGTAGCAGAGAGTAAGTACCACATTTACCACGTGGTAAAATGATTGTTGAAGGCATTCAGCCTGCTGGGCTCTTTCACCTACTCCCCACCTGTGCCAATTCCCATGTGGAAATGTAAGTCTGAGAGAAAGAAAAGAACCTCTTTCTTTATATCTATAGAGTGTACATACTTCATGGAACTATCTACCCCAACATATGCTATAGGAGGCATATGAAAAGCTTCAAAAGTTGTTCAGAGAAATTTGGGAGTAACAGTTCAGAAATTTTTAATAACAAAAAAATACTCCATTCATGGAAACATCCCTAGTCTTTGAGGCAATCATGATGGAATGCCACACAGACCTCCAGGCTATAGTCTCTGGATATAATATAAACAGAACAACGTCCTTGGTAAACTCCAATAGCACAGGTAGCAAAGAGAGTCGGTTGGAGCTCTGGTTTCCTAAAGGAGGAACTGCCATAATTTTAAAATTTCTTAATATTGAAAAGACCCTTGGGAAATTTCTACTATTTCTTAGCAAATTGCACTCTTTCTTTTCCTTTAATTTGCTGTTTTTCAGCTCCAGAGAACATTCCTCACTCATGCACTCACCCACAATGTCTTCACCTCCACAGGGGCTCATCACGGCAGTCAGGGCGAGGGCCCCCAGCAGCAGAGCTTTGTTTAGGATCATCTTCTTCCCAAGGCAGCCTCAGCAGTTGCTGCTCTGAGCTGTAGAGCAATTGTGAGGACCTCGAGACAAGCAAATCTGAAGACACCCAAACCAAACCCTGCCAGGTCAGGTTTTGGCCAATCAGAAAAATCCCCTATGGTGACATATTGTTTGCCAGTTGCAGAGTTTATATTAAGAGCCCTGGAAGAAGACAGGGACATCCTCTGGTTCTGACACATCCTCCACACAGCATGGTCTTGAGGAAATTTTCTATAAATAAAGGGAAGATACTAAATCTGAATCTTCTGTCATGTGTGCATGTCTGCTAGTGTCAAGAGGGGCGGGAATTTCTGAGCAGCCGCTTGGATAGGTAAGGTCATCAATAATATGGCATCCTTCAGGGTTTTCTGGGTTACATTCTCCAGGAATTCTTCCCTGAAGTGATTTTCCTCCCTGGCAGTCCCCATCCCCTCCCCTTTCTCTGGCTTCTGTATGTGGGTTAGCTGTTTTTCTTTTTGCTTCCATAGTGTATATGGTATTCCCCAAATTTTGACTTGACCCCACCTTCCTAGGGATCTCTGCTGGTGGTAGCCAAGCAATACCTTTGCCTTTTCTACTTGTATAAATCCAGTTGGGTAAGTTCTCAAAAGCTCCAGGTGTTTTTGACCAGGGCAATTAAAGGGGTTAGACTGTCATGCGGTGCTGCCTACAGTAACCGATCTTTTACACAGTTTTTTCTTTTGCTTCTAGTAATCTTTATGCTCTGTGTTTCGGTGCTGCTTGAATATATTTAAAGGAAATTTAGGGACATTGATTACATTAAAAAAGCTTTGGCTGGCTCAATTACTCTAATAATTTATTTTATTTTATTTTATTTATTTATTTATTTTAAGACGGAGTCTCGCTCTTTGGCCCAGGCCGGACTGCAGTGGTGCTATCTCGGTTCACTGCAAGCTCTGCCTCCTGGGTTCACGCCATTCTCCTGCCTCAGCCTCCCGAGTAGCTGGGACTACAGGCGCCCGCCACCGCGCCCAGCTAATTTTTTGTATTTTTAGTAGAGATGGGGTTTCACCGTGTGAGCCAGGATGGTCTCGATTTCCTGACCTCGTGATCTGCCTGCCTCGGCCTCCCAAAGTCCTGAGATTACAGATGTGAGCCACCGCGCCCGGCCAGTAATTATTTTTTTTAAATTTAAGAATGTCAAGTCAAATATTGAGAGTAGAATAAGGAGAATTGCTTTAACTTAGAAAATAGGTTTACTTTTCTTAAACTACTGGATCTTTTCATATTTGTTATCCAACCACATTAAGATTTCAGATATTGCAAGGGACTAGGGAATGAGCTAAAATGTAGTCATCACAGGGAAACTTACCTTTTTTCAGATGAATCTATTTTCTGTATGTTATAGAAACAACAAGTTAGTAATGGAGGTTTCGTTTAGAATCACTCTGTCCTTGTTGAATGGCCTTCTGAGATTCTCAGCATGTTGTCTTGCCTCCCAATGGCAGAGACTAAAAAAAGGTAAAATAAAAAAGTGTCCTGATACCTGGGGGCTGCCTGGATGCAATTAACAAGGCCTTGGGGTTGCTAGGAGCTAGCCTGGTGTTCACAGCTGGTTTTGATTCTCCTGTTGAAGATAATCAATTTCATAGAACATCAGAATCAGACAGGTACTCCATGAGTGTGATGGACTGAGACAGAAAATAAGGCCACTCAGTCATCACGTCTGCACCCAGACAAAACATGAATATTGTCCAAACTACAAAAATAACCAGGCACATCTCTCGAAAGAGTGATTGCTGCTTCTTTACCAATCACAGCCGTAGCCTCAGGATAGTCTTCCGTCCCTCTAGGTAGTATTTATGAAGCTACCCAATCATAGCATTGCCATCCCCACTCCCTGCTTTCTGTCAGAATCCAGTTAAAAATGAAGTCCCTCTTTCTTAAATCCTCCTCAAAACTACCTAACACAAGCACAAATCTTACAATTGATTAATGGTCAATTTTATGTGTTGACTGGACTGTGGTCCCCAGTTATTCACACACTAATAATCTAGGTGTTGCTGTGAAGATATTTTGTAGATGTCATTAAAGTTCATAATCAGTTAACTTTAAGTAAGAATTTATCTGAGATAAATTGGGTGAGCTTAGTCTAAGCAGTTGAAAAGTCTTAAGAGCAGAGCTGAGGCTTCTCTGAGGAAACAGAAATTCCACTGTGGACAGCGCGTCAGCCAGTGCTAAGAATTTCAACCTGCCTTTCCTGATGACTGCCTCCCAGTGGGTTTTAGGCTTCCCTAGTCCACCCGCACAGTTGCACAAATTAATTCCTTTCAGTCATTCTCTTAATATATGTGTTCTCCTAGTTCTACTTCTTTGGTTCCAACAATCTCTTACTGAACTGCTGCATGATTCCCCATGGTGACTTTTCTCCATCATTGCAACGGACAATAAAGCCAACTTGTTCATTCAAGGGTATGCTCTTCGTGGTCTTTGGCCGGAGGCACTGATGGTACCTCATTAGGCGGTTGTGAGGAATGTACATATACTGCACTTGGAATGAATTACTCTTTATAAATACTTGTCATACTTTAGTATCATCCACATTTTTCAAGGAGGACATTAAAACTCAGAGAGGTAAAGGACTTTTCCCAGGGTCACATGGCTCGTAAGTAGTAGAGATGGGATGCTACAGGGGCAAGCCATGATTCCTCATGAGGGGTGAGGGGTGTCTCCTTCTGTGTGGATTCTGAGTAAGTGCCCTAATACGATTAGGAGAGATATATGACACTGTACGTGGCCTTATTACTCTTTCTAGCCACTGCCATTGTGAACTAAGAGGGTTTTGGAGGTTGCAGTTGAGCTCTGCTCCCTTCACCGTGCAGCATCCTCTTTGCTGTGTAGTAAATAACACATTTCTATCTTTTTTCCCCTGTATCCAGACTTACCTGCTTTGTATCTGACAGAAATTCCTTAAGATTTTGGCAAATGAACTAAATCTTTCCTGATAGTACTCCAGAATTTCCCCTATTAATATCACAGTTTAAAAAACTCAACTCTAATTAGGAAGTTAGGGTGTTAAATGTGGGATCAGAATTGTATCTTAGAAGGGAAGTCATGGGTTCAGTCTCAGATCTCACATCCTGTGGGATGGAGGGAAAGTCCAAGCAAGGCCAGGTCATTGACTAAAAGATAATAGATGCCCTTTCTATCTTTAACTGGTTTTGTGTCCCTCTCCTCCTCCTGCTTCATCCAGCCAGAATATAGCGAACCTTGTTCTATTTGCTTCTGTTTTCAGGTCATAATTTTAATGCAAGATAGAATAATCAGTAAATTAGACTCAGAAGAACAGTATACCATTTTAACAGAAACCAATTTCTTACTTGTAGAAATAGAAAAGGTCCTCAGTACTTTGGGAGGCTGAGGCAGGCGAATCACAAGGTCAAGAGATCGAGACCATCCTGGCCAACAAGGTGAAACCCCATCTCTACAAAAACAAAAACAAAAACAAAAAAAAAATTAGCTGGGTGTAGTGGCACGCGCCTGTAGTCCCAGCTACTACTCGGGAGGCTGAGGCAGGAGAATCGCTTGAACCCGGGAGGCGGAGGTTGCAGTAAGCCGAGATCACACCACTACACTCCATGCACTCCAGTCTGGTGACAGGGCGAGACTCCATCTCAAAAAAAAAAAAAAAAAAAGAAAGAAAAGAAAAGAAAAGAAAAAAGTCCTTTTCATAAAGTAATAATGGGAATAAAATTTGGAGCTCAAAATACTACTTTGCCTAATAACTTTCTTAGAAAGCACTAATTGACATGCCGTTGATTTTGTAACTAAAATATCAATGGGATATGCCATTACAATTGATATTATTAAGGGCCCTCTAAGAAATTAGGCAGAAATTATGTTAGTTCTAAGGAGCAGTTATAACATTCTCTAAGACCCTATCTTTAAGTCTAATTTTATACATTGATGAAATTTTACTCTGAAGGCCGAGACTTCTATCTTGCAGTAGTTAAAGGTGCTTCACAACAATAACAGAGTCTAGAGTAGCAAAATAAAAATATTATAGATTTTGTAATAAAATAAATATGTATTCCATGCTGCTTTTGATTTTCTCAGCTCCATCACCCTGGGCAAACCACTCAGAATACCTGAGCCTTAGGGTTATTTTCTATAATGTGGGATGAAAACTATTAGAAGATAATTAATATGATGAAATGATAGATAAGTACAAATTATACAGTTAAATACAGGCCAGTGTCTGACACCTAGCAACTATTCCCAAGTGGGAGCTGCTACATAAAGACAAATATTAATAATGATAATGATAGTAACATCACACATTGGGCTGGGACAGACTATTACTTTTTCTTCATTCATTTAAGCTTCTCCCTGTGGCACTCCAGGCATATAGGAGCCTGTGAGCCACAGAAACACTAAGAGATTTCTAGGAAACAGAACTTCTTTGAAGACTGTTGTATCTGTCAGATTTTTCTATGTAACAAACTATTCCAAAACTTAATGACTTCCAACAACGATTTAGTATCTTCGTATGATTCTGTAACACAGACATTCTAAAATGGGGCCAATAGAAAATTCCTGCAAGTGATGCTTGACAATGTCTAGAGATACTTTTGTTGTCATTACTGGGGAGGGTGCTACTGGCATGTATTGGGTAGAGGCCAGGGGTGCTGTTACACATCCTGCAATGCACATGGCAGCCTCCTACAAGAAAATAATCACCTGAAACAAAATGCCAACAGTTCTGAGGTTGAGAAGCCTCATTTTAGACCATTTTTTAAATGTGAAAAAATGTTTCATTTCCAGAGTTTATTTCTTTGTATAGATCCAGGTTTCTATGTGATATCATATGGCTACCGTGTAAAGGTCTTCCTTTTACATTTCTTATGGTGCAAAAATCCCATGGACACCAATATTCCCACGACTCAAAGATAATAATGAATGCATGACTATCTCAAGTGCATAGGCGCGGAGAGGAGGACAAATGAGAGTGGAAGCATTCCCCTGCCCCCATCTTCTCTCTTTAGTGCCCATTGTAAGCCTTTCAAGCTCCACCATCTCTCAGGTGCAAGATTGTCCTTGCCAATCTTCTTTAGTCAATGGGATACTTTTAGAGAAATACTATAGCAAGAATAATTTTTACTCAACTTGTATCATTGTAAATAATTTATAAAATATTTCTTTTGTTTGAGGTATTTTTCAAAATCCCCAAACATCACACATATCTGGATTCATTTTTCCCTAAAGTTGTCAGTTATTAAAACATTTGAATTATTCTTGTGTTATTATTTCTGTTTTTAATGTTCTGGCAAAATCACAACTTAAAATTTCTAGGTAAAATGCTTTACATATACATGATGACCTTTGGTAAATACATATGAATAATTTCATATAAACACTTGCTTTTAAAGTTTCCATTTAAAATTATTTGTCATTTTAAAATCACTAATGCTAAGTAAAAATAACTGTACAGCTGACTGTGGAGGTGTGTGCCTATACTCCCAGCAATTCAGGTGACTGAGGTAGGAAGATCACTTGAGCCAAGGAGTTTGAGGCCAGCCTGGGAAACATAGTGTTACAGGACTTTTCCTTAGTTCAGCTAATGACAGCGTCCTTGCCACACAGCCACAAGAAATTACATTCACAGACAACTTGAAGGGTGAGTAGGACAACTTGAAGGTTGAGTATTGGGTGAAAAGGAAGAAAAGGGGAAACAGAGGCTCTTAGCAAAGTGAGAGAATGCATTTTTTTCTGCCAGTGGGCTTCCCACCTCACAGATTGAATTCCACGTTCCACCCAAAGAAGAGGGGTCACTCTCCTCCCTGCCGCAAATGGTGCAAACTTCTGTGGCTCCGTCCCAGTTTGCACTCCTCCCAGTGCTCAGGCTGGCTGGAATTTATCTGGGGACCCCTTCCCACCTGGCTGTCTCAGTAGCAAGACCCCGTCTCTAAAAATAAATAAATGAAAAGATCTATTCAAAGAACGTTCACAATATGTACATTAGGATTGGAGAGCTCCTAGGAAAAGAATCAATCGCTATTAGGCGTGAGGAATATTATCTGTTTCCCAGTAGTCAGTTCTACAACCTGATTCAGATGAATTAAGAATTTCAGTTCAACTCAACAAGTATTTATTGATTACATACTATAGTCTCTGCACAAAGTCTTTATCAAATAACCTATTCTGTTTAGCTGAAGAGTAACCTGGGGCTATGGTGAAAGCAGATCTGCACATGGGAGTAATTTTGCGTGTTTTCCCACAGAAGACTATTAGGGAGCAGTATTTTCCCCATACTATTTTTTTGTTATTGTGTAGTTTATTTAAGAGAGCTGTTTAAAGCAACTAGTTCATTCATATAGGAGTTGTTACTGACAAAGAATTGGTGGGGATGATATTAAATAACAAACGGAATTGTCTTTGAAAGGTTACCTTATAGGTAACAGAGGGTCTAGAGCAAAATTAGTAGCAATATATTGTGTGTTTATGGAATATAAAAAAGTATATGATAACAATTGCACAATGAATGAGAGAGAGAGAAATTTGGAGCATACTGAGCTAAGGTATATTTGAAAGTATATTATACATAAATGTAAAATCCTAGGGCAAAAACTAATCCAAAAGAAGGCAGAAAAACAATTTTGAAAATGAACAAACGTTTAATAGAATTAATAAAAAATATCTAGCAAAAATAATCCAACCATGTTGATAATTTCATAGATATAATTGGCCTAGACACACCAATTAAATGATAAAGAAGATCAGACAGTAAAAATGGCACAATTGAACTATAATCTGTCTACAAGAAACCCATTTTAAATATAAAGGCATACCTACATTAAAAGTAAAATGAATGAAACTGTATACCATGCAAACAAAATCAAAAGAAAATTAATAAAAACTTGCCTTAACTTCATCTCCCCACTTTTTAACTTTTTGTTTTTTCTATTTACATCTTATTGTACTATGTCTTGAAAACTTGTTGTAGTTATTATTTTTTATTGGTTCATCACGTAGTCTTACTACTTAGAATAAGAGTAGTTTACACACCACAGTTGCAGTGTTATAATATTCTGTGTTTTTTTCTTGATGTTCTCCTCCCTGTGTCCATGTGTTCTCATTGTTCAACTCCCACTTATGAGTGAGAACATATGGTGTTTGGTTTTCTGTTCCTGTGTTAGTTTGCTGAGAATGATCATTTCCAGCTTCATTCATTTCCCTGCAAAGGACATGAACTCATTCTCTTTTATGGCTGCATAGTATTCCATGGTGTATATGTGCCACATTTTCTTAATCCAATCTATCATTGATGGGCATTCGGGTTGGTTCCAAGTCTTTTCTATTGTGAACAGTGCTGCAATAAACATACATGTGCATGTGTCTTTATAGTAGAATGATTTATAATCCTTTGGGTATATGACCAAAATGGAATTGCTGGGTCAAATGATATTTCTGGTTCTATATCCTTGAAGAATCGCCACACTGTCTTCCACAATGGTTGGACTAATTTTCACCCCCACCAACAGTGTACAGCGTTCCTACTTCTCCACATCCTCTCCAGCATCTGTTGTTTCCTGACTTTTTAATGATCACCATTCTGACTGGCAAGAGATTGTATATTTAAAAAACCCCATCATCTCAGCCCAAAATCTCCTTAAGCTGACAAGCAATTTCAGCAAAGTCTCAGAATACAAAATCAATGTGCAAAAAGCACAAGCATTCTTATATACCAATAACAGACAAACAAAGAACCAAATCATGAGTGAACTCCCATTCATAATTGCTACAAAGAGAATAAAATACCTAGGAATACAACTTACAAGGGATGTGAAGGACCTCTTCAAGGGGAACTACAAACCACTGCTCAAGGAAATAAGAGAGGACACAAACAAATGGAAAAATATTCCATGCTCATGGATAGGAAGAATCAGTATTGTGATAATGGCCACACTGGCCAAAGTAATTTACAGATTCAATGCTATCCTCATCAAGCTACCATTGACTTTCTTCACAGAATTAGAAAAAACTACTTTAAATTTCACATGGAACCAAAAAAGAGCCCGTATAGCCAAGACAATCCTAAGCAAAAATAGCAAATCTGGAGGCATCACGTTATCTGACTTTGAACTATATTAGAAGGCTGCAATAACCAAAGCAGCATGGTACTGGCACCAAAACAGATATATAGACCAATGGAACATAACAGAGGCCCCAGAAGTAACACCACACATCTACAACCATCTGATATTTGACAAACCTGACAAAAACAAGCAATGGGGAAAGGATTCCCTATTTAATAAATGGTGTTGGGAAAACTGGCTAGCCATATGCAGAAACTGAAATTGGACCACTTTCTTAAGTCAAAAGGACATACTGAGAACTGACCTCCTTTTCTCCCAGGTTTTTATGGTGACCCCTTAGCATCACCTGACTCCCAGGCTGCAGGTCAGACTTGTCAGTGTGCCTTCTGATGTGTTGAAGTTCTGGGCTTTGACCTTAGGGCTGATGTCTTGGAGGTGGTCTGTGGGGTTATAGAAAGACATACTCCTGAGGAGTTGCCGCCCCTTTTTCTCCTCCTCCTCATCCAAAAATTAACTCAAGATGGATTAAAGACTTACACATAAAACCTAAAACCATAAAAACCCTAGAAGAAAACCTAGGCAATACCAGTCAGGATATAGGCAGGGGAAAGACTTTAAAACATCAAAAACAATGGCAACAGATGCCAAAATTGACAAATGGGATCTAATTAGACTAAAGAGCTTCTGCACAGCAAAAGAAACTATCATCAGAGTGAATAGGCAACCTACAGAATGGGAGAAAACTTTTGCAATCTATCAATTTGACAAAGGGCTAATATCCAGAATCTACAAGGAATTTAAACAAATTTACAAGAAAAAAAACAACCCCATCAAACAGTGGTGAAAATATATGAACAGACACTTCTCAAAAGGAAGACATTTATGTGGCTAACAAACCTATGAAAAAAAGCTCATCATCACAGGTCATTAGAGAAATGCAAATCAAAACCACAATGAGATAATTATGTCAATACTAGACAAAGTAGATGTCAGAACAAGGAATATTACCAGGGATAAAGGGATATTATTTAATGATAAGGGGTTATTTCTCCAAAGACACATAACAATCTTAAGTGTGTATGCACCTAACAACAGAGCATCGAAATACATGAGACAAAAGCCGATAGAAATGAAAGGAGAAATAGAAAAGTCAAAAATTTTTTGTATGAGGTGTAAGGAAGGGGTCCAGTTTCAGTTTTCTGCATATGGCTAGCCAGTTTTCCCTAAAACCTGTGAATAATGGAGCTAAAGATTTACTTAAACATGAAGATCTCTGTTTTGTAAGAAATCACACATAGTTACACATTGTCAGATCTTTTTTAATTATTATTTTTACCAGACATAAGAAAGCAAGTACATATACCTACACATATATGTATATACGAGTATTTGAAATATTATCAGTCTATGTTACAAAGAGCTTTCACATGAATGATCTGTTTTAATAAACAAGTGACCACTGAATAAAAGTATTGCTTTTCTAAAGAGTAGGCTAACAAGCTACTTAATACTTAGCTAATTAAAACCTAGATCTGGGATTGGAGTAGAAGACTAGTTAATATCTGCTATCTTTTCCACTTTAGTATCAAAGGAGGGATGTGAGCCCATGATGAGGATTTCTTTGCTGCCTTACCCTCTAAGTTTCTTTTCCTGTTGTCATTCGTCCTAGTGGAGCCTGCAGTGACCATCTCCCCAGCTAGGACAGAGGTCAGCCATCACAATTTGCTGGTCTGTTTGGTGACAAATTTCTTTCCTTGCCAAGTGAAACTCAGATGGTTCCAGAAAAAACAGGAGCAGACTGCTGGAGTTGTATCCACACCTATTCAGAATAGGGATTAGACCTACCAGATTCTTGTAATGCTAGAAATAATACCCGAGCATGGAGATGTCTACACCTACCATCTGGAGCACCCCAGCCTCCAGAGTCCCATCACAGTAGAATGATGTAAGGAGCACTTTATTGATATCATAAATTCAATGGAAAAAAGGAAGGGTGGGGGAGTTCTGGGTCTTGTGGGGGTGAGGTCACTACTAACCTCTGCTTGTTATACATTTTCATACCTTCTCTCCTACACAACTGTATCCCGATATAATTTCTGGACTAGTAGTCATGGAAGACTGAGATCCCATTGTCTCAAGTCAAAATGCACTTTCTGAGAACTGACCTCCTTTTCTCCCAGTTTATTATGGTGGCCCCTTTGCATCACCTGACTCCCAGACTATAGGTCAGCCTTGTCGGTGTGCCTTCTGAGGTGTTATAGTTCTAGGTTTTGACCTTAGGGCTGATGTCTTGGAGATGGTCTGTGGGGTTATAGAAGGACATATCCTTGAGGAGTTGTCATCTCCTTTTTCCCCTCCTCCTCATCCATCCATGCTGCCCCTTGGGGTCTTTGCCTGCCTGTCATCTCCTTTGCTTGGTGACAGACTACCTCTGTCTCTTACATCCTGGATAGGACTCCAGGCTTCCAGATGAGGACACTGTGGGGTGTGGGGACAGGCTCTGACACACAGGCTTTCACTTCCCAGGGACACTGTCTGAATCTGCCCAGAGCAAGATGCTGAGTGGCCTTTGGGGTCTTGTGCTGGGGCTGATCTCTCTTGGTTTGGGCCTTGTGGCCCAGCCATTTTTGGAATAAGAAAGGTAAGGCACCTTTGAAGAAGATGGAGAGACTGGTGCTGGGACTGAGGCTTTTTGTTGTAACTCGTCCTGTCTGACTCTGTAATGGAAAGGCAGCTAAGGTGGGGATGGAAATAGATCACAGAAATTAGGAGCATTGAGAGCTCCCTGGCCTGGGTCATGTCTGCATCATTACAGAAGGGAGTGGTGGAGGGTTATTCTTAAATAGACAGGGCTCCACTCACAGGTAAGATCCCTGCTCTCCTTGCCCAGAAATATGACACACATAAGGTGGAAAAAAGAGTTGAGTGTGTTTCTCTGGACACCTGAACATGCTTCAGTTATTTTGCTGTTCCTGAATGAATGTGGCATGAAACAAAATTCTGGAATATTCTGGAAAAAATTCTGGAAAAATTCTGGAATGTTCTGAAAAGTCTCTGCTCTAAACTTCAGGGATTATTCCTCAGAATAAGACCCGACCTGTGGTATCAGTCATTCAGTGAGGCTTAGATGATGCCCCCAAATCCCCAAATTGCAGAGAGTGCTGCTGAACTTGGTGATAGGTGAGATGAGAGGGAATTACAGTTGTTACCATTCCAGTTAGTCCACGACCTGTGCATCACCAAAGCATTTCGACATCCTCTTCTGCCTTCCACAGGCCCCTTCAAGCTGATGTTTTGTGTTCACTTTAACAGAGTAAAGTGCACTTCAGATGTATTGTGATTTTGGTTCCAGACAGCACTGCAAGAAAGTCAAACGTATCTTTTGGTTTCCCAGTGCATATAAAAGTCATGTTTACAATATATAGTAGTCTATTAAGTGTGAAATGGCCTTATGTCTAAAAAAGTGCATACCTTAATTAAAATATTTTATGGCTAAAAATACTAACAATCCTCTGAGCCTTTAGTGAGTTATAATCTTTTTGCTGATAGAAGGTTCTTTCCTTGATGTTGATGGCTGCTGCTGCAGTTTGAGGTGGCTGTGATAATTTCTTAAAATGAAAGAACAATGAAGTTTGCTGCATAGATTGACTCTTCCTTTCATGAAATATTTTTTGTAGCATGTGATGATGTTTGGTAGCATTTTACCCACAGTAGACCTTCTTTCAAAATTGTAGTCAATCCTCTCAAACCCTGCTGCTGCTTTCTCAACTAAGTTATGTAATATTCTAAATCCTTTGCTGCCACTTCAACAACATTCATAGCATCTCACCAGGGGTAGATTCCCTCTCAAGAAACCACTTTCTTTGCTCATCCACAAGCAGCAGTTCCTCATCCATTCAAGTTTTATCATAAGATTGCAACAATTTAGCTACATCTTCCGGTTCCACTTCTAATTCGAGTTCTCTTGCTATTTCCATGACATCTATAGTTCCTTCCTCCACTGAAGTCTTAAACGTCTCAAAGTCATCCATGAGGGCTGGAATCAGCTTCTCCCAATCTCCTGTTAATGTTGATATTTCGACCTTCTCCCATGAATCATGAATGTTCCCAATGACATCTAGAATGGTGAAGGCTTTTCAGAAGGTTTTCAATTTGCTTTCCCCAGATCCATCAGAGGAATCACTGTCTCTGACAGCAATAGCCTTATGTAATATATTAAATAACACGACTTGAAAGTTAAAATTACCCCTTGATCCATGAGTTGCAGAATGGATGTTGCATTAGCAGGCATGAAAACAACACTCATCTCCTTGTACATCTTCATCAGAGCTCTTGGATGACTAGGTACCTTGTCAATGAGTAGTAGTATTTTGAGAGGAATGTCTTTGTCTGGGCAATGGGTCCCAACAATAGGCTTAAAATATTCAGCCAACTATATTTTAAACAGGTGTGCTGTTATCAGGCTTCGTTGTTTCATTTATAGAGCACAGGCGGAGTAGATTTAGCATAATTCTTAAGGGCCCTAGTATTTTTGAAATGGTAAATGAGCACTGGCTTCAATTTAAAGCCACCTGCTGCATTAGTCCCTAGCAAGAGAGTCAGCCTGATCTTTGAAGTTTTGAAGCCAGCATTGACTTCTCTCTAACTCTGAAAATCCTAGAAGACACCTTCTTCCAATAGAAGGCTGTTTCATCTCTATTGAAAATCTATGATTTAATATGGCCACCTTCATCAGTGATCTTAGCTAGATCTTCTGGATAAATTGCTACAGCTTCTATATCACCACTTGCTACATCATCTTGTACTTTGGTATTATGAAGGTGGCTTTTTTCCTTAAGCCTCATGAATCAACCTCTGCTAGATTCAGACTTTTTTCCTGCAGCTTCCTCACATCTCTCAGCCTTCATAGAACTAAAGAGAATGAGGGCCTTTCTCTGGATTAGACTTTGGCTTAAGGGAATGTTGTGGCTGGTTTGATCGATCCAGATCACTCAAACTTTTTCCACATCAGCAATAAGACTGTTTTACTTTCTTATCATTTGTATGTTCACTTGAGTAGCAGTTTTAATTTCTTTCCTTCAAGACCTTTTCCTTTGCTTTCACAACTTGACTAATTGTTGAAAGCAAGAGACCTAGATTTTAGCCCATCTTGGCTTTTGACCTGTCTTCTTCACTAAGCTTAATCATGTCTAGCTTTTGATTTAAAGTGAGAGACAAGTGACTTTACTTAGAGGCCATTGTAGGGTTACTAACTGGCCCAATTTTAATGTTCTTGTGTTCTTAGGGAATAGGGAGGCCTGAGGAGAGGGCGAAAGAGAGGGAGGATGGCTGGTCAGTGGAGCAGTCTGAACATACACAACATCTAACAATAAAGTTGATTGTCTTATATGGGTTCAGTTCATGGTGCCCCAAAACAATTACAACAGTAACATCAAACGTCACTGATCACAGATCGACATGTAATAGTAATGAAAACGTGAAATATTACAAGAATTACGAACATATGACACAGAGACACAAAGTGAGGACATGCTGTTGGTGAAATGGTGCTGATAGACTTGCTTGGTGCAACCCTTCAATTTTTAAAAAACCACAATATTTGAGAAGCACAACAAAGCATAGCACAATAAAATGAGGCATTCCTGTTGCCATCTCTACTCAGTTACCAGGAAAGGTAACGAGGAGCAGGTGTTGACATAAGCTCAACCTTAGTGTCCTGACAACTGCAGAGAGGCCCCAAGGGAGGGAGGGACTGTGTTTCTTCAGGGGTTGGTGTGACATGTGATTGTTTCTTCTGTCTCCTAGAGGGCTCACGCATTGACTGCAAACATTTTTCTTTCTGGGATCTGTCACCTCTTTCTTGTCTTGTCTTGGCTTTACTCTTGTCTGTAATTCCCAGCTACTCTTCTGTCAGGCCTGTGAGCAAGCCATTTCTGCCAGCTGTGTCACCCATCAGGACATGACTCCCATGGTGACTGAGAAGTGGCTGCCAGGTTGTTGCTTGTTCTTGTCTTTCCTAAATTCCTGCCTGCAAGAAATTTCCTAAATGTTTGCTCACTACCATGATAATGAGAGCTCTGCTCTCTGCTGTCTGCTGTCCCTGTTTGGACCATAAGTACTTTCATAAGCTTTTACTACCTTCTTCTGTTTCTGAAGACTGATCATGAACTAAATGTCAAACTTCTTATAATTCAATAATTAGTTTTTCAAAATTAAATAGATTTGTGAGTCACTTGTGTTTCTAATTCTGATTGAGTAGGGTAGTGGTGTTGGTGGGAAACATTGAGCTAAGAAAGGGATCAGATTCTAGAACTTTAGTTCAGTTATGACCCCCAAAGAAGACAATGTCCAGGAAAGGACACTCAAAAATCATGAGTCCCCATACTTGGTCTAAGTCAGGTGCTACATAAGAATGTGAAATGAGATATGAAATAAATTTAATTTTCCATTATCAGTGGGGCTTGGAAGTTGGGATTGTGTGCAGCAGTCTTTCCTGGCTTCTGCAATAGTCTGATTAGTTTCACTTATTTGTGCAAGTAGAATTGTTTTGCACCAGTCATGGTACCTAATGCCATAACTTAACCAAACGGCACCACAAATATCTTCTGGTGAGCACACCGTGTTCTTCAGGGCAAAAGACAATGATTGTTGATTCCATCCAACCTCCCCAATTGTATAATTACCAATGGAGGTTTTATTAGAAAGTAGTATTTTGGTAGCTTATAATGGAAACTCTATTAGACCATCTTAAGGGGAAAAATTAATTTTGGGGCTCATGCAATCAAAGTTTCTAGGTGAATTTAGCTTCTGAAAAACGCTTAGATACTGGACACAAATGGGACCTTTTTCTCTCTTCTCTTTCATTTCCCTCCCTCTCTCTCTCTGACCCTTCTCTCCCCCTTCTGCCCTCATTCCCTTCTGTCAGTGCACTTCTGTTTCATTCTACTCTATATTTCTCTCTGACTGTTTGTCTCTTCCTTTCTCTTCAAATCTCTTTTCTATCTCTGTCTGAAAGACCTCCTCCCCATTAATATATTTGATAGCTTTTCTTTCTTCGATTTGCATTTTCCCTTATATCCATTTCTCTGAATCGCTGTTTCTTTTTCTCTCTGTGACTCTCTCTTACATATATATGTGTGTGTGTATATGTATATGTATGTGTGTGTATATATAATTTATTATCTGCCTCTTGGGTTGTCTCTCTGTCCACCTCTTTTCCCCCCTTCCATCTCTCTACTGGCCTGTGTGCCTCACTGCCATTTTTTCTCTGTCATTCCATCTGTCCATTGTCTTTTTCTTTGTCTATATTTTATGTTTATGTTGTTTATTTCCCTGCATCTTTCAGTCTCTGTTTCTCTTTGTGTGTATGTATTTCTTTGTCTCTTGCTTGTGTTCTCTGTGTAGGTCTCTTTGAGTTCGGCTTTTTTCCTATTGATTACCCTTATTTTCTCCTATGGAAGTCAAACATTTCCTACATGGCTATGAAGATGGACATCTCATATTTTCAGCTCATCATCTGAATAGCAACAGATCAAACATGTCAGCTCCATTTTGATAATCTGACGAAAGCTTAGCTTGAGTGGCATTCCAGTTTCTCAACCAATCACTTTAGCCATGGGATGTGGGACTCTGATTAACCAGGCCTTAGATTTGAACCCACTTCTGTGTCAGGAATACAGATTTTCTTTTTCCTAAACAAAGATGGAAAAAGACCAAGGCTGGATAGGTCATAATAGTAGTGGCAATAAAAATAATAACTATCATAATCTATTATACAAGGCTCTTATATATGAAGTCTCTCTCCCTCTTTCTCTCTCTGTTTCTCTCTGTTCCTTTTCACATTAAAAAATTCAGAAGATGCTCCCTTTTAGTATAATATATGTAGTTCTTACACAACTGAAGCTTCATTTGTCCCATTCTAAAATGAGAAAATCCCAAATTATAAAAACCTCCAACTCCAGGAACTCTGGTGATATGAATTTCTCCTTAACTGCTTTGAACATGACTCTTATTGGTCCTACAAACTATGATGAAATAATAGATAAATCTACCTTCAATACAGGTGGAAATAATAACATAACCACAATGAAACTATAATCAACGATCACTTCTGCCCAATGTGATGAGATATTGAAACGCTAGGTGAAATCTGTTGCCCGCTGCTGTTTCATGGGGATGTGATCTCTTATGGAGAAAGAACGAGTCACTAGGACCCAAATGCAAAAGCAGCTGGAGTTATGTAACAGGGCACTCCTCACACACAGTCCCCAACATGTGTCTGCTACTACTGTCTATTTTGGAGGGAGTCATCAAGGAAAATGTGGTTGGCAAAATTAGGGCAGATATCAATATCATTTGAGATTTGTCATGTCCATGTGAGTCTCTTTTGTTATGAACGTTTTCAGGTATAGATCCCCAAGATGCTCTGTTATTAAGGTTTTCTAGTGAGGAGTCAATAGCAGCTTAGCTCTTGGAGTCCTGCCCCTATTTAAGGTTTAAATAATCAGATTGGACAGTTATGAAATACTAGATCCTACCTATCTATGACTTCAGATGTGTGGGAGTATCTTGCCTTTAGCTTCTTCCACACTTTTTAGTTTACATCACTGGTTTTATTTAATAAAAGAAATAACAGAAAGGCATCAGGGGAAGGAGGAATTATCCTTGATTTGTCACATTCTCAACTTCCACATTCAGCCAGTTGGTGAATTCTATCAATTAAATGATAAAATATTTCTCAACTTAGTCCATTTTATTCATCTTCTTTGTAGCCACTTGACTTTAGCATACTGCCGTATTCCTCCTGAATTGTTGAAATAGCCTCCTACCCCATCCCCCTACTTCCTTCTTGATTCCTACAGTTCATTTTCCACACAACTGCTAGAAATGTTTATAAAACTTAATCTCTACCACATCTGTATCATGATTAAACACCTCACATGTTTTCTTATAGCATCTAGAATTAAACCTAGATTTCTTACCTGGCTAATCAAATCTTCTGCCTGGCTAATAAAATCTTCTGTGATCTGCTCTTTGCCCATACTACTGAATTCACTGTCTACCTTTTAACTGTCTCATTTTATTAGTTTGGGTAACACCAGCTGCTATACGGAATAAAGATAAAAATTTCAGGGGACTAGCTAAATAGACATTCTCTTCTTATTCACATAACAGTCCATTGCCAGATTGTTAATAGTCTAGATATTTTTCTCCACATAGTGACTCAGGAACCCAGGCCCTTCACATGCTGTGATTCTGCTCTTTTACTGGACTTCTGCTCTCTGCTTCCAATGATGAAAGGCAAAAGAGAGAGGGTGGAGAAGGCACACTTATTACTTAATTCCTTGGTGTGCCAGCAACACACTTCACTTTCAGTCACATTTCATGGTGAGAACTAGTGATGTGACCCCACCTAGATGAAAATGCGTGAAAGTGGAGTCCTTACTTGGACTGCCATTTCTGAGCAATATCACTAAGCAGCAGGAGGAGGAGTGCACAAATTTTGGTGGAAATCCAGCCATCTCTGCCACTGACCTCATTTCTGCTTTTTTAACATTTCAGGTTTAGTCTACGTTAGGATGGTTCCTTCTGCCTGGAATATTTCTTTTCCTGATTGTTACATGTACATTGTCTTCTTTCTAGCTCCTTTATGTTATTTTTGTTTCAACTTAAATATAACCTAAGAAAAGATTTTCCTGATGACCAAATTTGGAGTTGCCACTCAGTTATTCTTAGTTAAATATTAATTTTCTTCATATCAGTTATCACATTTGTGAAAGCCATATATTCAATTGTGAGACCTGGTAGTTGAACAATTATTTTTAAAAGTCAATTGCAGTTGAGAATAGTTAGAATGATTTGTAAATATATAATGTGGTAAACATTTTATTTTAACTGAAGTAAATACATGTATACATGTATATTTGTTTGGCAGTATGTTGACATAGAACCAAACCTTCACTTGGAGAATGTATCTGTTGTTTAGAGTTTTAGGTTATCTTAAATGGCTAAACAACACCCATAACAAACTTTCTATCGTATCAAATTTTAGTTTTTTAAAAAGTTTATGAGAATTTAGAGTGAAACATTACAAAGAATTCTGAATTTAGAAACCCTTTAGATTTTCACCTCATTTTCTCCATTTTAAAAGTTATTTTACCTATATCCAATTTAATAATATTTTATTAGACAACTTATCGTTATTATTTCCAAAGCATTTAATGGTTTAAGAACTTAAAATTTCCCTTTTAAAATTCATTCTTAATTCATAATGAAATATTTACTTTATTTAAATATATAATTACAATAACAAGTCAATAGAGATGAACAGATTTGTGAGCAAACGCCAGCAACTTTTGGCAAACATTAAACTCAACTAATGGAAGCAGAAATATACAGGAAGGCCAAAGAACAGCTGTGAGCTGTTGGCATGTCACGGGCATCAGCTTGTTTACTGAAGAAATGAAATATGCCAGTTAAACCAACAAATCAATTCAATGAAATTGTCTATTCTACCTGGTCATTTTGTTTTCACTTAATTGATCATAATATAAATATATAATCTCTTATTTTTCTGGTCTCTGTCAATCTATTGATCTACAATTATTATCTATCATTTATTCATCTATTTATTTAGAGTATAAAATCAAAAGAGAGACCTTGTCTATTTTGTTCAACAATATTCTAAGTACCTAGAACACTGCCTGGTATACAGTAGGTGCTTAATAAATATTTGCTGGTTGACTACATGATGACTTTTTCTTCAGGAATTCACCTGTCTCTCAAATCTTTCGTCCTTTCTTGGGAATGTTTTGGTACTCCTGGGCCAATATCACACATTATTATTTTATAATATACTTTGATATCTAGGGTGTCCTCTTCCTCATTCTTGATTTTCCTTTGCAAAATTTTCTTGGCTATTTTTGTCCATTGACACATATATGGTGGTAGTGGTGGTAATATTTTCATAAGGCAGAATTCCATCATTATTATTCAGTATTAACTTTTGTGTTTTCCACATTTCCCTTTTATGAATATGAAATGATGTTGTTTAAAATGGTATTTTAAAAATCTTCAATATTGTATTTTCTACAGAAATACAATGCTTTATCATACAAGACCTTCAAATCAACAATCTCACTACACACTCTTATCAATTGCATAGTCTACCTTTGAAATTATTTTGTGTATTTCCTTTGTTCATAGTTATAACATCTGCTAAAAATGATAGCTTTTCTTTCTCTTCAAACTTTATAGCTTCTTCTTTTTCTGTCTGTACTGCATTGGAAGGGACATACAATAAACACCTAGTAGATGTTATAGCTGCCATTTTTGTTTTGTTTTTCCCACCAGATATGCCAATATTGAAGTTCTTATTCTAAGACTTTGTCTTAGGTTTTTAATGCCAGAAACAAGAGAAAATAATTACTATCTAATTTCTATGAACCAGGGAAAACATGTCAAGAAGAGATGGGTTCTCTATGGTATCCTATTCATTACTCAAAATGTAAGTTTTATATGGATTTCAAATATAGCTAACTCTTTGATGTTGCTCAAGTCTTCCATTCTGTTCTGGTTCTCCATGAAAAAATAAAGAGGCAATCAGTTGCCCATTGGGACTCAGTGTGCTGAACGAAAATTCCCAAGAAGAAGATCAATTTCAGGGGCAATTGGGAGGAGGGTCTTCGTGTCTTGGCCTTGAGGGCAAAGATGCTGAGGACTCCCTCTGATCAAGGTAATAAATGATCACTGAAAACAGACACGACCCCAGAATCCATATTCCTACATATAGTGCCAACTAGAGTAGGAGTTCAAGTCACAATTTATTTATTTATTACAGAAGAGGGTGTTGAGTTGCCATCAAAGAGGTTTTTTATTCTGTCTGTTCAAGTGGTAGACATGGAGTATTGAATAGCTACAGAGAACAAAATTTACCTTAGTTGATTTTGAGTGGAAAGGAGTTTATTACAGACCTTAATATAGCTTAGAGAATCATCAGGACAATAGAAGGAACTGAATCAGGCAACCAAGGAAACCACCTCCTCTTCTACAATCAGGAACTCATGCTGCCCAGAGCAGCCATATTTGGGAAGCTCCTCCATTCAGTAAGCCCCCACGATCACCTGCTACAATCTGCACCAGTAACAGACACGCTGCATGCTGCCTCTTTATATCCATGAAGTCAGTTATCAGACATGAAAATCTCTCCTAATTCTGACACAGAAAATAAGGCACCCCTACACTGGTGCCTTTTCAGGTAAAAAAAAAAAAAAAAAAAAAGACCCTCAGCATGTCCAAAATTTACCAGAATGCCTCTGATTGGCTAAATCTAAATGACATCAAATGCTATCCAGGAAATGTTCTTTTCAGTTGCACATCTTTTGCAGTACAGGAGAAATGCACTGGAAGAGGTTGAGAGGTATGTTGCATGACAATCCACTACATATGGGAATAGGGACACTCAAACCTTCTCCTGCATTTTTCTTAGTAACACAATTTCCAGATCCAATCCTCTGCAATGGAAACTAGGAGGGATGGCCTCATTACAGAATAGATAATGTACATGTCAATAATTTTTTTTTTTTTTTTTTTTTTTTTTTTTTTTTTTTTTTTTTTTGAGACGGAGTCTCGCTGTCGCCCAGGCCGGAGTGCAGTGGCGCGATCTCGGCTCACTGCAGGCTCCGCCCCCGGGGTTCACGCCATTCTCCTGCCTCAGCCTCCCGAGTAGCTGGGACTACAGGCGCCCGCCACCTCGCCCAGCTAATTTTTTGTATTTTTAGTAGAGACGGGGTTTCACTGTGTTAGCCAGGATGGTCTCGATCTCCTGACCTTGTGATCCGCCCGCCTCGGCCTCCCAAAGTGCTGGGATTACAGGCGTGAGCCACCGCGCCCGGCCACATGTCAATAATTTTTAGGCCCAATAGACCTTTTCTACTTAATATACCACCACCACCAACAACAACTTTTTGTTAATCCAGTGCCAAGGAGAAATAATTGACATGCCTGTCGCTTATTCCATATTTTAAGCTATTTTTATGGCTTGCTTTCTTTAATGAATGGTAAGCTCATTATCTCTTTTTAATCTTTCAAGCCATAGGCTTTGGTTTCAGTCTAGAGAAGCCAGCATTACCACAATGTCCCTTTCAGTCGGCTGTGGCCAGGAAGTTTCCAGAAAATCATAGGGCAATCCGAGTAGCTCTTCTACAATGTGTTTTTCTCCATGGTTTTACTTATTCCACAATATAACATTCTTTTGCCGTTCAATAAACTTCAGTACACTAACTCCCTATCTGTTTCTCTAACATGCAGATTTGTTTCTTCATTAGCAGTTTTCACTTATGTTCTTGCTGTGTGGAGTGGTTTGCTATAGATTTTGAATAGCTGGCTTTTTCTTAGCATTCAGGTCTCTTTTCAAATAGAGTATTTCTAGAGTAACAATTTCTAGTCACTCAACCTAAAGAAGTTCCCTCAAATCACTCCCAATTACTTTTGTTTTTTCTCCTCAGAGAGCACTCATTATTATATGATAATCATTCTTCATTTATTTGATTTCTTTGATAGCAGCAACCTTATTTGTCTCATAAAACATTGTCTCTCTAACTCAGATTATTAAGTAGCCTGTATTAGATAATAATATAAACAAAACCCATATAAATTAATCATTAGTACATTAATCTCCATTTTAGTCAGATGACACTGAACTAATCATATAGTAATTAATACACATGCTAAATAAGTAACTACTTCTATTTCAAGCTCTATCTCTTCTTTGCCACACTATCATGCCCTAGTTTCAAATTGTGTAGCAGATTTAGCCTCCTTCCATCCCCAACCATGATCCTAGCTTTCCACACAACCATGACTCAGCCCCAACTCTACCTAATCCTTAGTGCCAAGCAGCCTCTTATCATCCCTACTTGTCCTTCGAACCAACCACACTTGGATAAGAGTTACCTCCATACCAAAGTAAAACCCAGTGTAAATAAGCCCCTTTCAAACACACACACACACACACACATACACACACACACTTGGCTTTACAAACGAGATCCCAAACCTTTTCCTTTCATGGTTGGAAGTTTGAAATAATGTAAATAAGCAATTCTGCTCTAATTTCCCTTCATCCTCAGTATCAAATGGAAACCAAACCAAAACAAGTCAAATTACCATAAAAGACAAAAATCTTTACATTAAAAGAGTAATTAATAATAAACACTTTAATATATTCTTTAAATAAGAGAAATCTTCGTTTCATCATGTTGGCAATCCTAGTGAAAAGCTGTACTCAAAGTTTTAAAAGAAAATTATTTTTTAGGCCGGGCGCGGTGGCTCACGCCTGTAATCCCAGCACTTTGGGAGGCCGAGGCGGGCGGATCACGAGGTCAGGAGATCGAGACCATCCTGGCTAACACGGTGAAACCCCGTCTCTACTAAAAATACAAAAAATTAGCCGGGCGTGGTAGCGGGCACCTGTAGTTCCAGCTACTCGGGAGGCTGAGGCAGGAGAATGGTGTGAACCCGGGAGGTGGAGCTTGCAGTGAGCCGAGATCGCGCCACTGCACTCCAGCCTGGGCGACAGAGCGAGACTCCGTCTCAAAAAAAAAAAAAAAAAAAGAAAATTATTTTTTAAAAGACTTCTTGATTTCAGCATCAAGTGTAAAAGACAAAACCTTGTAAAATTATAAGATTTTTATTTAAACATGAACAATTAGCCAAGAAAAGAATGTTTTCCTTATGAATATGAAATGGGGTACAGATTATTGGAGCAACTCTTTTTCTTTATGATATGAGTCATAATGAAAAAATAAACTGCAGTTTATATGGTTTGGCTGTGTCCGCACCCAAATCTCATCTTGAACTGTAGTTCCCATAATTCCCACGTGACTTGGGAGGGATCCAGTCAGAAGTAATTGAATCAGGGGAGTGGGACTTTCCTGTGCTGTTCTTGTAATAGTCTCACAAGATCTGATGGTTTTGTAAATGGGAGTTCCCCTGAACAAACTCTCTCTTGCCTGCTGTCATGTAAGACATGCTTTTGCTTCTCTTTTGCCTCCCACCATGATTGTGAGGCCTCCCCAGCCATGTGGAACTATGTGTCCATTAAACCTCTTTCCTTTATAAATTACCCAGTATTGGATATGTCTTTATTAGAAGCGTGAGAACAGACCAATATAGCAGTTATCTCACGGCAGTTTATTAGGAATATCTTTCTTATTAGAATATGTTAAACATCTTCTCACACTATTAGTTCCTGTGAGGTCCGATTGTTAAAAAGAGCCTGGAACCTTCCTCCTCTTTCCTTTCCTTTATCTCTCGCCATGTGGCATCTGCACATGCTAGCTCCCCTTCTTCTGCCACAAGTGGAAGCACCCTGAGGTCCTCATCAGATGCAGATGCTGGTGCCATGCTTCTTGTACAACCTGAAAATCATTAGCCAAATAAACTTTTCTTTATTAAAAAAGCATATATTGAACATCTAAACTGATGCAATGTAATAAAACGTATTTAATTTAATCCTATTACCATTTTTTCTTTTCAATGTGTTCTTTGGGGTTAGCCAATTCCTTACCTTGAATGAGCATTCAGGAAGGCTTCATAACCTCTCTGATAATGTTTAAGTAAAAAAAGAAAGGTATTCAATTAGTCCCATTCAATAGTCAAATTTCTATATTTTATTCAAAACGGAGGCCTCACACTCTTGCTTATTCAAGAGTGTTGCAGATGAGAAGCTCACAAACAGTGAAGGTGCAAAATTAGCTTCTTTTGTTTCTACAGCTTGTGCTTCTAATTCTTCTACGTGATATAGTTTCAGACCCCTGCGAGTTGAGGCATGAAGAGCAGAAGAGGACAGTTTTTACTTGCCTGATATTTCATGTGCTTGAATTGAATGCTGTAGGGAAAACAGATGCATAAGAAGACTCTATTGTGAACATTTTCATGAATTCTTTGAGAATCCACACTCCCCTAGTTCAGAGCCCGGTGAGGGCTACTGCATCTCCATTCTCATGGAATTCTCAGTCACTAGGCACTCTGGAATACTAGCAGCCTCTTTCTTCTATGATCTGTTTCTCTTGGAGGCTGCCTTGAGATACTAAGACAAGCAGACCCCAGACCTTTCCCTTACTTTTGGTCTATGTCGATTGCCAAGGAAAGATGAATCTCTTTCCTTCTGGAAGTCAGGCAAATCCTAGTGTAGCTACTTGTTCTTTTCTCTGCTTGAAAATGGTACGTGAGTGCTAGGAAGGCAAGAGTGTGGTCCCTTTAAATGATAGGGAAGCAGGGAGCAGAAGTGCTGGGTAGAGGAGGGTATGGTCCCTGGCTAGGGCTCCATCCCCACGGACCTAGGTGAGAACAGGCATTCCCTGTCCAAATGTTGCATTTCCCAAGACCACTCTGGCCTGCCATGTCCCATCCTGTGCCTATAAAAACCTGAGACCCTAGCAAGGCAGGGACAGAAGCTGCTGGACGTTGAGAGAGAGCACATCAGCAGAGGAACACACCCACTGGGGCTTCAGGAGCTGTAAACATTCACCCCCAGACACTGCTGTGGGATCAGAGCCTCACAGCCTGACCATCTGTATGCTCCCCTGGAGGTCTGAGCAGCGGGCACTGGAGAAGAGAGCCACATCGCACTCCCTGCAAGGGGAACAAGGGAATTTTTTCTGTTTCAAAAACATGTAGCTAAGTTGACTCTTGGACTTCAGCATTCTTCAGCATACCCCAGGTACCAATCTACTGAATTGTCCAAACTCTGGAATATGTATGTACATTAAACTCTCCAAGAGGTCTTTTCATAAGAAGGTTTTTAAAATTTGAAATTCATTATTCACTAAAAATATTTTTGGCTGGGCGTGGTGGCTCACACCTGTAATCCCAGCACTTTGGGAGGCTGAGGCAGGCAGATCACCTGAGGTCAGGAGTTCGAGACCAGCCTGGCCAACATGGTGAAACCCTGTCTCTACTAAAAATACAAAAATTAGCCAGGTGTTGTGGTGCATGCTTGTAATCCCAGCTACTTGGGAGGCTGAGGCAGGAGAATCACTTGAACCTGGGAGGCAGAGGTTGCAGTGAAATGAGATTGCACCACTGCACTCCAGCCTGGGCAGCAGAATGAGACTCTGTTTAAATATATATATACATATATACATATGTGTGTATATATATATTTGAGAAAACTGCTTTGTGCCAGAAAGTGTTGGAGGTACTAAAGATACAACAGAAATAAGGCAGAAAAAATTATTCCTGTCCTCATGGGACGTATATTTTAGTGGTGCAGGAACAGATCATAGACAACATT
The DNA here is from genome assembly GCF_000001405.40 of Homo sapiens. Taxonomy (NCBI): domain Eukaryota; kingdom Metazoa; phylum Chordata; class Mammalia; order Primates; family Hominidae; genus Homo; species Homo sapiens. The sequence continues at coordinate 4,015,446 of NT_167247.2, read as the reverse complement.
TTAAAAGGTACATTAGTTAGTGTATTAGTCATCTGTTGTCACAACAATGCTGCATTACAAACAACACAAATCACCAGTGGCAGATAACAATATGCTTATATGTCTGGGTCAGCTAGGTGGCACTGCTAACCTTGGCCAAGCTCACCTATGTATCCAAGGTGGACTCTTCTTCACATGCCTCTCATCCTCTTCTTAGGGCCGGTGGACTTGCCTAGAAATGTCCTTATGGCAATGCAGAAGCAAGCAAAATGTTAGCTCCAATACATACGCCAATTTCAAGGCCCAGAGTGTGTGACATTTGCTAATAACTCCTTGGCTGTAGAGGAACACATGGTTAGGCCTAATGTTGAGAGGCAATTCAAGTCACCCATCCATAATGGGAGAGCATAGTAAAGTTAGATTGCAAAGGGCGTGGATATAGGGAGGGATGATGAATTAGGATCATCATCATAATCTATTAGAGTCCACTTTTATTGCTACAATTTTTCATATTCTTCCAATATGAAAAATATGCTTACCCCTAATCTGGGATCACCAGAAGTCTCATGCAATCATGGCATCAGCCATCAAGTTCAAAATCTCACAATCAGGATGCAGGTCAGAATGCAGTTCTCCTTAATCCAGAAACATACTGATAGAGCTGGAGCCCTGTCATCTCGGACAAACACCGCCACTTTAAATTCCAGCTCCCTTTCTAGCCTCATGCATTTCAAGGAAATCACTTCTCTTCTAACTACAAATAGCCAGAAAGAGCAGACAGTAAAACACAGATAAGAGAGTTTGGGCACAGAGAAAGGTTGGGGGAAGGTCCCCTGGGTAACTGCCAAACTTCACCCCCATACAATGGGCCCTAAAACAGTGGGCCTTAATAAGCACATTCCTTTCCCTTCAGGTGCACTAAGATAGGGAAGCTAAAAGCAGACTCTGGGGATATGCCTGCAGCTGCAAAAAAGATGTATGGGAACAGACACACAACTCTCCCTCCTAGATAAGCACAACAAAGAGACACAGAAGCAGTCCAAGCCTTGGATAAACTCTCCCACTCTGAATCCTTAAAAAACTTAGTCTATAAGAGAGCGTGCCTCTGACCTAACTCGGCCAGAAGGCGCCTCTCAGGTTTGTTTTCTCTAAAATAAGTGTGCCGTGACTGGTGAGCCACCTTTTCGTGTGTTTCTTTCCTCTTTCTTTCTCTTTCTTTCTTTTTCTTTCTTTCTTTCTTTCTTTTTCTTTCTTTTTTTTTTTTTTTGTTTGTTTTGAGATGGAGTCTCACTCTGTCGACTGAGTGCAGTGGCGCCACCTCGGCTCACCACAACCTCTGCCTTCTGGGTTCAAGTGATTCTCCTGCCTCAGCCTCCTGAATAGCTGGGATTACAGGCGTGTGCCACCATACCTGGCTTATTTTTTGTATTTTTAGTAGAGACACACGGTTTCACCGTGTTAGCCAGGATGGTCTCCATCTCCTGACCTCATGATCCACCTGCCTCAGCCTCCCAAAGTGCTGGAATTACAGGCCTGAGCCACTGCGCCCGGCCTCCTCTTTCGTTAATTCTAAGACATACAAGCCACAACAATAGAAACAAAGTTGTCTTTCCATCAGCACTCAATACACAGTGCTGAAACTGGGTCAGGATAATGATAGTAAACATGCCCATTCAAAAACGGAAAGAATGGGGGACTTAACAGTCACTGATCCCTGGCAATTCTGAAATTCCACTGAACAAATGCTGCCTTGCACATCCCCTCTAGGGGTGGACAATATTCCTTGGTTAGCCCCTGACTCCTTTCCTTGGGAGTTTCTCATTAGTCTACCTGTCCTCAGAATTCTGTGCTCTTCCCTTTGAAAAGTACTTCCTTTTCTGTTTCCCTCCTTGGCCACCTTTAAAGAGCACATAGGATGATCGGCACTTTGAACAACTTTCTCAGCCTGTTTCTTTTACATAGAGAGTTGCAGATCCATTGCCCTTTTACATTTTAAACAACCTCAGTCTCTTTCAGTCCAGACTGGTGGCAGTTTTACCAATACAGCTGAATAAAAAATGTTGTGAGTTTTTTATATATTTGATCCCATGATACTCTGAATGCCAACAACCTCACCCACAATTTTTTGGGAGACACAAAGCTCTTTCTAGACTTAATCACTTAGCACAAAAGAGCTTTAAATTAACTCTATTTAACCATATATTCATAAATATCAAGGAATATATAGTAAAGAAAAAGATTTACAATCTAAAAAAGAATATGAATGTGGAATCTTTTAGATACGGAATCTAAATAAAAGAAATCAGAGTACGTCATCTAAAATTAAAACTTAATGGGTGAATTTAACAGCAGACTGGTCACAGGCAAATGCAGTAGTAGTTAACTTGAAGACAGTTTAATAGAAAGCATCTACTCTGAAGCATAGCACAAGATAAAATGAAGAAGAAAGATATCAGCATCAGAGACATGTAGGCATTATCTAATGGTCAAATATACTTACAATTGTACATAAAAATAAAGGATAAAGAGTGCAGCAGAGAAAACAAAAAGATAATGGCAGAAAATTTTCCAAAACTGATTAACGATGTCAAAACACAGATACAAGAAACTTATCAACCTCAATCATAGACTAGTGAAATAAAACCATATGTAAAAAAAAATAATAAATTGCTCAAAACCAAAGATAAAGAGAAAATGTTTAAATCAGCCAGAGACGAAAGTGTCTTGTCTTTGGAAAAAAAGAACAAAAAAGGTTAAGGCTGACTTTCAATAGAAACTTTGGAATCTGGAGGAAAATGGAATGAAACCTTAAAATACGCTAAGAAAACTTCTACCCCTAACACAAACCTAGAATTCTAAAATCAGAAAAACATCCTTCAACAACAAAGCTGAAGAGGATCTTTCTGTGACGGCCAAGTTGGAATAAGCCCACTATAGTCTGTATCTTACACTAATTATAATGGGAAACATCAGGCAGAATATAAAAGGCAGCTATCTGTGGACCTTGAAAAGTACAAAATAGCATGAATATTAGGGAGGGAAGTCAGAACTTGGAGAAATAATAGTAAGGGAGTGAGTTCCTAGGGTTTTTCCTCTTTTGTCTCCTGGCTTTGACTTGAAGGTAACTCCAGACATGTAGTGTGCAGTGAGAGCAGAGAGAAGAAACTCCAAAAGACACCTCCTCTTTCTGTACAGATTGCAAAGGGGGTCTCCAGAGAGTGTGTGGAGCAATATTCCTTTTTTGGAACTTTACTTCTTTTTTCACTTCTAGTTCTTCCCTGAGTGTGGTCAGAATCAGGAAGCTGTACTAAGGCTGCTGTGGTGGAACCATCAAAAACTCTGAAAGAAACATCCCAAAAGAACTAGGGAAAAGGAACCCTGTGGCCTAAGGAATATGGGGTATTTCCCTTTATATTTTTGCTCAATTTTCTCTTCCCACTTTGCCTCAAGGGAAGCCCCAGTTGTGCAGAATCACATGACAATACTTTGAGAGAAACCAACCTTTCTGGCCAGAGGAACCGGTAAGAGGGACCTATGGGACCTGGAGAGTGTGGGAAAAATCTCAGAGGAGAGAGTGAGAGACAGGGATCCCTAATTCTATACATGAACCATCATAACTCTCAGGGTCTTGGGCTCCCCAAGCCGCACGAGGGGGACAGTTTCACACCAGCATATCAAAGCCATTAGGAGCTGAACTATGATACAAATATCACAGTCCTAGTGCCAGACTAGTGGCTGAGAGGCCCAGGCACAGGGCAGGCACGAACAGCATGGCAAAGTCTTTGAAAACTATAATGACGTTAGAACTACGGCGCACAGAAAGCGAGATACAGCTTGCATTCTAAACTTGATGAGATTAGTTCTTGCTAATACAAAAAATTCAACCTTCTCCTAGAATTTTAATGGGACCCAGAGCTCACAGTGTAATACAATCCTGCACCACATAACGACAGTTCAGTCAAGGAAGGAACATATATAAGTTGGTCATCACGAGATTATAATGGAGCTGAAAATTTCCTATCCCTATATAATAGCCATTGTAACATTGTAGCATAATGCATTACTCACAAGTTTGTGGTGATGCTGGCGCAAACAAATCTCCTGTGCTGCCAGTCACATAAAAGTATAGCAATACAATTATGTACAGTACACAATACTCAATAATGACAACAAATGACTACGGTACTGGTATATGTATATACTATACTATACACTATATAGACGCCCTCTTTTTTCAACCATTATAAGATCTAGTCTTTGTTTCGGAGGACTGCACCAGCTAAGTGCATTTTATTGTTATTTTAGAGTGTACTCTTCCTTATAAAAAGAAAATTAACCATAAAACAGCCTCAGGTAGATCCCTAAGGAGGTATTCCTGAAGAAAACATTGTTATCATAGGAAGTGACAGCTCCATGTGTGTTTGTGTTATTGCCCCTAAAGGCCTTCCAATGGGACAAAATGGGAAAGTGCAAGACAATGATATTGATGATCCTGACCCTGTGTAGGCCTGAGCTAACGTGTGTGTTTGAACCTTAACTGTTTAGAAAAAAAAAAAGTATAAAAAGTAAAAGGTTTAGAAAAAAGTTTAAACAATAAAGATATAGAGAAAGAAAATACATTTGTATAACTCTAAGTGTGTTTGTGTTTTAAGCTAAGTGTTATTACATGAGTCAAAAAGTTTATAATAATTCAGAAAGTTTATAAAGTAAAAAGGGTACACTAAACTAAGGTAAATTCATCATTGAAGAAAGATTTTTTTTTCTGTAAGCTTAGTGTAGGCCGTGTACAGTCTTTACGAAATACTTAATGGTGTACAATAAAGGCCTAGACCTTCATTCACTCACCACTCACTCGCTGATTCACCCAGAGCAACTTCCAGTCCTGCAAGCTCCATTCATGATAAGTGCCCTATACAAGTGTAGGAGTTTTTATCTTTGACAATTTCACAACACAATATAAAACAATTTGCTTAGATCCAGATTTGTTTTAGTCAACGTAAAATTCAAGAGAAAACAATTTTGATGAAGCTACTCAAAACCACACTTTCACATTCATGCCTTTTTCAATGCTTATCTGCAGGGGTGAAATCTGGACCAAACATATCCTTCTGAGCTGCAGGATACAAAAGCCTTATTTATTATTTTTAATTCTCTATTTTGCCACTTTTAGTAACTCACTATACCAATGATTCACTTCCCCTCCCTCTTTTTGTCTTCTCAGGGTATTTTATTTTTCCATGAAATACCTACTTCTTCCTCATTGTCTTGCTTTGTGTTATACACAAGAGGCCTACCATATTCAATTTCCGAACTTTACTAACTTTAATATATATAACTTGCCACAAAACATCACTGGTGATGTTCTTCTTGAGGCTTTGCCACCATAAAACTTCTTCACAAAGAGTCCCATGGTTCAAAAGAAGATATTTTTGCTATTTTTCTCTGTCCTGCTCTTACACATATGCTTCATATAACCTTTTAATCTTGAACTTAGACTAGGTCCTTTAATGAAGCTGCTATGGAGCAGAATCACCATAATCACCATAATCCTTAACAACAATTAATTTTTTCCCTAAAGTCCACATCTTTGAAGGGAATTGGATCTTAAATTTATATTAGTAAAAAGGTTCTTCACCTCTCTTAAGTTTAAATACTTCATATGTCTTGAAAGATAAATTTCTCAGAGTAAATTCAATTTGTATTTCTTATCCTGGATTTCTATCCAGTAGAGCGATCAACAACTTGTATTGCTATTCTTCAGCTCATGACTGAAGAGTAAGACTTTCATAATTGAGGATTTAATAGTAGCGTTTCTTTTAGACTGACACATAACTTAAGCACAGAGTTGCATAAACATGTATATAGAGTTTAATAAAAATTAATGACGCAGACTAAAAAGCTTATCCAGCTTCCTAGAAGCCCTCTGTGTGCACCTTCTACCTACCATCTTTCCCTTGGAGGAAAACATTACTCTGATTTTGTGCTAATTATTTACTTTTTAAAAATGTGTGCATGGTCCTAAATTTTATATAAATAAAATAATTTATTGGATTTGTTTCTTTCCTTTGATAAATATTGCTTTTACGAGATTCACCTTTTTTTTATGTGTAGTTGTGCATACACACGTTAGGGTGGCTATTATTCAAAAGGAAAAAAGAGAATATAAGTGTTGGTGTGGATGTGGAGAAATTGGAACCCTTGTGCCTTGCTAGCAGGAATGTAAAATGATGCAGCTGTTGTGGAAAAAGGTAGAGCCATATCTCAAAAACTTTAGACATACAATTATCATATGATGCCATGATTCCACTTCTGGTCATATATCCAAAAAAACTGAAAGCAGAGACTTGAACATACATTTGTATACCCATGTTCATAGCACAAACATTAACGGTAGCCAAAAGGTGAAACAAACAAACAAACAAACAAACAAATCTCCATCAATGGATGCCTGGAAAAGCAAAATGTGGTATAAACATACAATGGAATATTATTCAGTCTTAAAAAGGAAGGAAATTCTGAAAATATACTATAACTCAGATGAAATGTAAAGACATTATGCTAAGTGAAATAAGCCAGTCACAAAAAAGGCGGATATTGTATGATTCTACCTTATGAAACCACCTTGAGTGGTCAGAGACAGAAAGTAGAATGGTGGTCACTAGTGGCTGGGAGGAGGAGGGAATAAGGAGTTGTTTATGGTTACAGAGTTCCAGTTTGGGATGAGGAAAAGTTCTGGAGATCTGTGGTGGTTATTGTGTACAACAGTGTGAATGTATTTAATGCCACTGAACTGTACACTTAAAAAGGTGAAAATGATGAGTTTTAGTTTATTTCTATTTTCCCACAATTAAGGAAAGAAGGAAGGAAGAAAGAAAGAGAGAGAGAGAGAGAGAGAGAAAGAAAGAAAGGAAGAAAAGAAAGAAAAAGAAAGCAGCGTTAATGCTTAGAATTGGTGTAAAGATGTATAAGACTAACAAGTTTAAGCAAAAATGATGTTCAGTGTAGACCACACTTGGTTCCCAGAGTTTGGGCATTGAAACTGGAGTCCCAAGTACAGATTATATAAGTCATACCCTTAGATAACATTTATTTGAGGCCTATGTATGTCATAAAATAGTCTAAGTGTTTTATATGTATGACATCGTGGGTCCTCTCAACAACCTACTTTGTGGTTACTAAAGGATTACATTGCATGTAAATATAAAATACTATATTAACGAAATCTTAGTTAATCTACAAAGTTCCACAAAATAAAAACAACCTAAATTATAATGTTGTCAATAATCATAATTTATGAGCTTGAGCATGGAGTAAATTTAGATTGTGTTTATACTTCCACCAAATGATGCACATCCATTTTCCTAGTTCACGGTCTCTATCTCTCCTTTCTCATTTATGTTAATCCAAATAGTGATACACACAGTGTTATTGTAAGAGTTAAAGAAAGAGGAAAGAAACACAAAAAGTGGCTCAACAGTCAAAGACAGGTTTATTTTGGAGAATAAACCTGAGAGGGCTGCTGTCTGATTTCAGTCAGGAGCCCTCTCTCTTACAGACTAAGAGTATTTAAGGGTTTGGGGCAAAAGGCTTGAATGTTTCTGTGTGGAGGAGAACTTTATTGTGGGGTTGGAATGTCTCTGGTTGGAGGGGAGGTTATCTTGGGGTTGGCATCTCTCCGGTCAGAGGGGAGGTTATCTTGGGGCTGGTGTGTCTCTGGTTGGAGAGGGGTTTATCTCAGGGTTGGAATGTTTCTGGTCAGAGGTATCATTTGTGGTTTAAGGTCATGCTGCCATTAGCCATTAGGCTGATGCCCTTTGGGTTGGATTTAGGTGGCTTTTGATCAAGGGGAACTTTAAAATGGTGGTGCTTGTCCAAGATGGCAATGCTCCTGCTCTGTCAATCCAGATCCTATAGTTATAAAAGGATGAGGACGGTGTGTTCTTTCTGGCTAATTCCTGCTGAGAGGAGTGTGGAGAGTTTTCTGGTCTCGGATTGACTGTAGGAGTAATGCCATCTGTAGATGTTTTTGGGTAGTTGTCTGTGAAATGGCCATGATCCTGTTGGTTAAAAATCTTTGAAAAAGATTAATTAGGCAGGGTAAGAACACTAGTCCTAGGCATATCATTAGGAGAGGGCCCAGGAATGGGGTGACTCATGCTATGATTTTGTTCCCAAACCAAGAATCTATTTGACTGTGTTGGTATTCCCTTAGCTTTTTAGCCCTTTCTTTAAGTTTTTCGGCAGCACCTCTTACTGGGCCCGACTGGTTGAGACAGAAACAACTTTCCTCACCCAGTGAGAGGCAGATGCCCTCTTTTTCAACCATTATAAGATCTAGTCTCTGTCTGTTCTGGAGGACTGTACCAGCTAAGGAGTCTAGTTGGTCTTGGACTCTTACAAGGCTTCAGGCTATATCTTCTAGAGATCCCTGTAGTTCTGTTGAAAGAACCTTAAAGTATGTGGCTAATCCACCTGCTCCCTCTCTAAGTCCAGAGCTTATACCCAAGGCGGCCATTAAGGAATGATGTGGATGGCTCTCCTTTTCCTAACATATTGGGTGGATGGGATAGACAAAGGTTGATGAGGAGGAACTAGTCCAATGGAAGGGGAAAGATAAACTAGAGAACAGGTTCCGGTCCGGTTGGTGGGGAGACAAAGATATGTGTTGGTGCCACACAAAAAGAACAAGCCTTTGTCGTAAATACAGGCAGAGATATGGAAAGAGAATAAGTGTGTTAAAAATTGGATGTTGTTTCTTTCCTGCGGTTCATTACTCCAGATGGACAAGGAGGAGGCCAGAGAGACATCCACTATAGTAGAGATATAGCAAGAGTTATTTTTTACACGTTTAATGTGATCAGATGTTGCATCATTGACATTGAGCCATGGAAAAAGGTGGGAACCAGGGACAGCACAAGTTAGTTCAGAGGCATTGGTTAGGGGATAGGCTGTAAAACAAGCCAGATGCAGAAACATTCCATTTGCTTCAGGTGATACTTGGTAGTCAGCTTGGTTAGTCTGATGGTTAGAGGGGTGTTTAATAATGATAGTGCGGTTGCATTGGTTAGGTGTGAAGGATCCTACAGGGAAATTTCCTTCAGAGGCTGAAAAGCAAAGTGAGGCTTATTGTAAAAGGAGGGAGTGTTTAGTTATAGGCCCTCCAACGGGGGTGCCTTGGGGCTTGAAGCATTGTAGGGAGTTGTAATAGGTTTGAAATAATTTGTTAGCCTGATTGGCCCTGGAAGTGGGATAATCGCCGACCACAGTCGCAGTGCAGTGCTAATATTATCAATTATTAGTGTCTCTGCAACTTCAGTATCTCTTATTATTCTAATTCTACTAACTATTCTCGAGTTCGCTGTCGCTCTTATTCAAGCTTATGTCTTCACACTATTAGTAAGTCTTTATTTGCATGATAATACATAATGACCCGCCAAACTCATGCCTACCATATAGCTGTACCTAGCCCTTGACCACTAACAGGAGCTCTCTCGGCTCTCCTAATAACATCTGGCCTGGCCATATGATTTCACTTTAATTCTACCACTCTTTTAACTTTAGGCCTACTAACCAACACACTGACTATACATCAGTGATGACGTGATGTTGTCCGAGAAAGTGTATTACAAGGCCACCACACAACAATTGTCCTAAAAGACCTCTGATACGGGATGCTTCTATTTATTATCTCAAAAGTATTCTTCTTCGCTGGTTTTTTTCTGGGCATTTTATCACTCCAGTTTAGCACCGACCCCAGAATTAGGAGGACATTGACCCCCAACAGGTATTCTTCCCCTGAACCCTTTAGAAGTATCTCTCCTAAATACGTCTGTATTACTTGCATCAGGAGTTTCAATTACTTGAGCCCACCACAGCCTAATAGAAGGTAACCAAAAACAAATAATTCAAGCAGTACTTATCACGATCCTCTTAGGAGTCTATTTCACTCTTCTACAAGTCTCAGAATATTTCGAGGCCCCCTTTATTATCTCTGATGGAATCTATGGCTCAACATTCTTTGTAGCCACAGGCTTTCATGGACTTCATGTTATTATTGGATCAACAATTCTCACCATCTGCCTTCTTGCCAATTAAAATTTCATTTTAAGCCCGGCATGGTGGCTCATCCCTGTAATCCCAGCACTTTGGGAGGCCAAGGTGGGCAGATCACCTGAGGTCGGGAGTTCGAGACCAGCCTGACCAACATGGAGAAACCCCATCTCTACTAAAAATACAAAATTAGCCGGGCATGTTGGCGCATGCCTATAATCCCAGCTACTTGGGAAGGCTGAAGCAGGAGAATTGCTTCAAATGATCGTCCCTCTTCATCCTCCCAAAGTGCTGGGATTACAGGTGTGAGCCACCACACCCAGCCCAGCTTTGTTAATTTTTCTGTTTGCTGGTTTTCTGTTTCATTGTTGTCTGGTTTCATTTTTATTAATTCCTTCTTTCTTTTATTTGTCTTTGCCACATTTAATCATTTCTTTTTTTTATTTATTTTACTTTAAGTTCTGGGATACATGTGCTCAACATGCAGGTTTGTTACATAGGTATACATGCGCTATGGTGGTTTGCTGCACCAGTCAATCCATCATCTGGGTTTTAAGACCTGCATGCATTAGGTATTTGTCCAATGCTCACCCTTTTCTTTCCCTCCACTCCCCAACTGGCCCCGGTTTGTGATGTTCCCCTCCTTGTGTGTTCTCATTGTTGAGACATGTGAGACTTGGATATGTACTCTCATTGTTCAACTCCCACTTATGAGTGAGAACACGCGGTGTTTCATTTTCTGTTCCTGTGTTAGTTTGCTGAGGATGATGGTTTCCAGCTTCGTCCATGTCCCTGCAAAGGACATGAACTCATTCTTTTTTATGGCTGCATAGTATTCCATGGTGAATATGTGCCACATTTTCTTTATCCAGTCTATCACTGATGGGCATTTGGGTTGGTTCCACATCTTTGCTTTTTAATTCCTTCTTTCTACCTTCTATCTTCTTTAGATTTAGTTTGCTTTCCTTTTTCTACCTTCTTAAGGTAGAAGCTCACACCATTGATTTTAAACTTCTCTTCAGTTCTGATGTATACATTTAAAGAAACTAATTTCCCTTCAAGCACTCTTTCAGCTTTATCTCATACATTTTGATATAATGAACTTCATGATCATTCACTTAAAATATTCTCTAATTTTCTTTGTAATTTCCTCTTAGACCTATGGCTTATTTGGTAGTATGTTGATTAATTTCTGTATATTTAGGGGATTTCCAGGTTATCAGTTTGGTGCTGCTTTCTAATTTAGTTGAGGTATTTTTATTTTTATCTTTTTTGGTCAGAGAACATACCCTACCCAGTTTGCATACTGTTGAATTTCTTGAGACTAAATTTATGATCCAGTATGTTGTTCATCTTGATGGATATTTCATGTACACCTGAAATAATATGTATTTTGCCATTGCATATTCTAGTCTAATGTCTTATAAGTGTCAGTTAGGTTGATTTAATTATTAGTGCTATTCCACTGTTTAATATATTTTCCTGATTTTTTGTTCATTTCTTTTACCAATTATTGAGAGAAGCATTTAAAAATCTCTAATTACGATTGCAAATTTATCTATATTTTCATTTCTGTCAATTTTTGTATCATTTATTTTTAAGTCATATTATTAGATGCATACATATTTAGAAAAGTTATGTTCTTCTTATGGTTTTTCCATCATTATGACTCGTTTTATTTTTATTCCTGGTAAAACATATTTTTAATGAAGATTTTTTTTTGTTATTAATATGATCATACTGAATTTATTGTGATTTAGGTATTTGTGGTATGCATTCTTTCTTCTGGTTATTTTTTGCCTATCTGTGTAAAGAGCATGTATCTACCATTCTTTGAACATATTCTTATCTCTGACACCTGACACGTATCCATCATTCTTTTTTTTTTTTTTTTTTTTTTTTTTTGAGACGGAGTCTCGCCTCTGTCGCCCAGGCTGGAGTGCAGTGGCGCGATCTCGGCTCACGGCAAGCTCCGCCTTCCGGGTTCACCCCATTGTCCTGCCTCAGCCTCCCAAGTAGCTGGGACTACAGGCGCCCGCTACCACGCCCGGCAATTTTTTTTTTTGTATTTTTTAGTAGAGGCGGGGTTTCACCGTGTTAGCCAGGATGTTGTCGATCTCCTGACCTCGTGATCCGCCTGCCTCGGCCTCCCAAAGTGCTGGGATTACAGGCATGAGCCACCGCGCCCGGCCGTATCCACCATTCTTAAATATCCTTACTTTCTATGATCATCTTTTATTTTTTTTCTCAAGCTCTAGAATCTGTCATAGCTCTGGGTTCTTTTAGAAGAGTCTGGTTAAAAAGCTAGATCAAGATCTGTGTGTTAAGTGTGCTCATTGCTATGGGAATGTCAAAAGTCTAAGATCCTATTTGTGGACATACACATAAACATCTATACATTTATTTCTATAGCTACTTACTTATATTAAAAACCATATGTCTACGTCTAGCCTTTCTAGAAACAAAAATTATGAAATCTATAAAAATGACTTAAAAATTTGCAATCATTGGAGATCTTTTGAAGCATGCAGAATACATCAGGAGATAAATATTGAGAAAAGGAAAGTAACTAGGTGAGTTCAACGTTTACTGTGAGTTTCCCCTGAGAGTGCTTTTCAGTCTAAAGCAGTAGATGGTAGAACAAAGCTCAAGCAGAAAGATGCAGTCTTACCAGGAAGAGAAGACGGAGGTTGGAGTTTGGTGCCGAAAGAATTAGTTGCTATTGAGGAGAAAAATCCCCAAAAAACATGAAAACTCAAAGAGGGGCCCCTATTCTGCATGCAAATTTCTTTCAAATGCAGAATTTTGGGCTCTCCTCTGTGGTATTCTTATTTAGGATTTTCCACTCAAGTTCTACAAATAGTGCGCCACTGCACTCCAGTTTGGGCAACAGAGCAAGACTCTGCCTAAAATAAAATAAAATAAAAATTGTTTTAAATTTCCACAAATCTTAAAGACCTAAGTTCTGACATCTTTCTACTCAGTTACCATTAGGAGGGAGAAAAATATACTAAGAAAGGCAAGTAAAGAGGAATAAGAGAAAAAGAACAGATGGGCCAAAAACAAAAAGCAGCAAGGGGGTAGACTTAAATCCAGTACTTCAGTAATTACATTAAATGCATATTTCTAAACTGGATAAATAAGCAAGACTTTTGACCATACACTGTCCATAAGAAATGCATTTTAAGTATGAAGACACAGGTTAAAAATATAAGGATGAAAAAATATACACTGGGCAAGAAAGCTGGAGTGGCTACATTAATATCAGACAAAGAAAACTTTACAAATAAGGAATATTACTGGAGATAAATTTTTCATAATGAAAAAGAGTCAATACATCAAAAAGACATATAATCCTAAGTGTGTATGTACCAAATGCTATATACAGCTTATTTTCAAATTCACGTAGAAAATACATAAAAATATACCACATATATTGACATCAAAACATTTCAACGAATCTAAAAAGCAGTGAGAACATTGGACAAAGTTGCCAAAAACAATCATTTAAAGACTCTGGAAATTGACCAAAGGATACGAACATTGAGAAGCATTTAGTTAAGAGAATCTAAACTGAATCCTAATAAAAACAGCAAAATCAGTATTATTTTGGCCAGAGTATGCTTTCACCAACTTCCTTCACCCCAACTTATGGTGCAGAATTTCTACCTGTGTGGGAGGACAGGCCATGGGATTAAACAGCTCTTCTTAACCTGCCAGAGGGAGCTCACACACATTTTTTGGAAAAGAGCTCACGCACATGCATGCACACACACACACACACACACCCTCAAAATAACGTCTTGGCGTTTTGTAGAAAACAGCATAGACCTCAGGGCAAATAATTATGGAAGGCTAACATCTCAACTAGCTTGAAGTCATGATGGCAGGCCAGTCAGGAATTTTACCAGGGAGATCCAGAGAATGAGATAGTCAAAAATAGCCTTGCTAAAATCTCATTTATCCCCAGTGGTGTGGAAAGCTGTCTGCATCAGCTTGATTAAGCCTGCTCAGGAGACACCTGGCTGAATATAAGGACATGTGAAGGCAGAAAGTAAAAATTGGGACATACCTGTAAAGTCCCGGAACTTTGAAAGCATTTCCCACATCCCACTCAGTTCAATGGCAAAGTGTGGAAGCCTTACTGACTCAATTGTTTAAGCAGAATCTTTCATCAGTCATAGGCTGACATTAAGCTATGATGACCAGGGGTGATTGTAGGAAATCAGGCTTAATAATGAAAACAAAAATTATTAAACAAACTTAGCAGAGACACCATAGGCTGCATACTAGGGGGAAACAGACTTGGAAGAACTAGCCCAAGCAAGTCACTAACACAAACAACAAACAGCAAGAGCACTTACTCCTAGGGATTGTGGAATCAGAATTTATGTAAAATATCAATATTAAACAAAAATTACAAGACATGCAAAGAAACTGGAAAATTTTACCAACACATAATACATAGGAAAAAAAGAAGCCAACAGAACTTGTCTCTGAGGAGACAGGTTAAAATGATTTCATTTTAAATTGCTCTCATTCTTGAGCATAATGAAGAAACACTCTTTAAGGCAGGTGAGAAATAACTAAGCAGTTATCAATTAGAGTGTTCAAGTAGTGGTTCTGAGTCTTAAAAAAATAGGAGGGTGGGAAAGAAAGTACAAAAGAAATCAGATTCCTGTTTTAACTACCTTGGAACACATAAAATTGTGAAAATATGTTGAGAAAGTTCTATCTATACAGCCATCTCCAACTGCTGTATAATAGGTGTGCCGGAAAAATAGAAAAAATATAGGATACAATAAAAAATCAAAGTTTTTTTTTTTCTGAAGGAAAGGAAGACTTTAGTCTCTGGCTAGATAAGATTCATGCAATTTAAAGGAATCAAGTGGAATCATGAAAATATACAAATAGTTCTGTAGCTGTAGGGATGAAAATTTTTACTACACAATCAGAAAATAAAATGGTAATAAAAATGATCTATTGGCTTCCAAGAAGGAAATAAACAGTTTACACATAAAAGGACGAGAACCAGACTGGAATCAAATTTCTTATCTCAAATATCAGAAGCCAGAAAACAATGAGAGGGAAAAAAGGCTGCCAACTTAACACATGGGGAAGCAGTGTGTTGGCAGGAAAGGCAGTGTAAGAGAGGAGGTTTGTACAGGGAGATGGAAGAGACAATGGAGAGAAGACAATCTGAGCAGAAGCTGTGAGGAGTAGATAGATACTAGGGAAACGGAATGCTAACGATGGCGTTATTTTAAAACTAACCTTGTGCGGCATATTTTAAAATTATCATTCCCACACCCTCATTGCATTGTAAAAATTTTGGATTAATATTTTGTTTATCTTTTGGTGTAGAACTGTGCTAAAGGACACGGATTCTATACTACTGGAAGAAGTTCAAGGTTCTTGTTTTAGGAGGACATGGACAGCTGTAGGGATGTTAACTGGGTCATGTTCACCAGTAGGTGGGGACATTGCACTTTAGAAATTCAAGGGAGCTGCCGCTTTCCCTTTTTTCCTTGCCCCTTGGCAGGTCTGGATTTGAGGGGTCAGGATTCCTTGAGGGTGGTAACACAGCCACTCTTATTTCCCGTACTCGTCCTTCCATGTGTTCAGAATATGATGCAATCTGAGATGCAGTTTTGGATGTTTGAGAAGCAAAGAAGCATGGCTGGAGCAGGAGTTAAAGTCTGCTTTTGTTTGAGAACTGAGGAGCTCAGTCTTTTACATGCTCTCACAGGTAAGAGATTGGTACTATAAAATTACATGCTTAAAACAAACTTCACTGCTGTCATTCTAGTGCAAGCCACTATCCTTTTTCACATTGAACATTCCGCCACCATCTGCAGCATTCTTGATATTTCAGTAAGAATGATATTTTACTTTACAATTACTATTTTAAATGTATTGGGATATCAGTATATAGTTTGAAGATTAAACAATAGAGATGTATTTTAATGAAAACAAGAGCCCTTCACGCCATTCCTTTCCTCCACTGTCATTATCCCCAGTTCAATGACTTTAACAGTAATATGCGTATGTTTTTGTATGTGGGGGTATTAATTTAGACATCCATTGACTTCCTGTTATGAAACCAGATAATTTAAACCACCAAAAATTAGGTCTCTGACATCTTTCTTGTGATTTTATTATCTTACTATGTTTAGTTCCTCCGTAGGTAATCCCTGCATTTTTTATTTTTTATTTATTTATTTATTTATTTATTTTTGAGACAGAGTCTCGCTCTGTCCCCCAGGCTGGAGTGCAGTGGCGCGACTGGCTCACTGCAAGCTCCGCCTCCCGGGTTCACGCCATTCTCCTGCCTCAGCCTCCTGAGTAGCTGGGACTACAGGCGCCCGCCACCACACCCGGCTAATTTTTTTTTTGTATTTTTAGTAGAGATGGGGTTTCACCGTGTTAGCCAGGATGGTCTCGATCTCGTGACCTCGTGATCCGCCCGCCTTGGCCTCCCAAAGTGCTGGGATTACAGGCGTGAGCCACCGCGCCCGGCCAATCCCTGTATTTTTAAACACAGTACTCTATTATTCTATCAGTTATATTCAAGATCTCTTGAGTTTTCTCCTTGTAGATGAAGCTACTGCTAACCCTATTCTTTCCTGCTCTACTTTTTTCCTTATTTCATATCCCAACTTCTGGCATTTATAATTTATCTTTAATATTTTGAAACCCGATAGTATTTATGGTTTGTTTGTAACCAGGTATTTTTTAAACACGTATGTGCTCATTATTGAGAATATATTTCCTTTGTTGGGCATCTTTTAATTTTTATGAAGGTTCTATTTGCAATTTCTTTTCCCTCATATATGTAGTCTACTTTTTAATCATATCCTCAGATGTTTTGAATATCTCAACAATACTGTAAAATTTATGGGATCATACTTATCATGTTTATCCACTTCCTGGTGCCCTTAGTTCTCTAGTTTCAATCTAAAAGAAATGATTTCCAGGACTGCTGAGCAGATGTCATCTTGGGATTCTCTTCATTGTTTTCTTTGGTAGAAGATAATGTTTCAGGTATCTGATATCTTCCTCTTACTTGCTTTGACTACCTAATTTTGCTACGACACACCGTCTGTTAATATCCAAAAAAGGATATTCTGGAAGCAAATTTTTCTAATCTTTGCATGTCTGAGAATAATTTTTATTCTAGATTCATGCCTGAATGAAATTTAATGGGTTTATAAGTATGGGTCTAGTCAGGAGAGAGAGGAAATCACACAGTAATGTAAAATGAGAAAGATCAATATAAAGAAATACGAATCTTAACAAGAGATCTGAGTAATAAGAGATTGGCTAGAAAGAAGTAAAGAGAACTCTAAATAATATAGCAGTGGCAGATATAATAGTGCATAATATAATATAATACGAAATGGCTACTTCCCTAGTGTATTAGTCAGGGTTATCTAGAGGGATAGAACTAATATGATAGATGTATGTATAAAGGGGAGTTTATTAAAGCGTGTTGACTCACATGATCACAAGGTGAAGTCCCACAATAGACCGTCTGCAATCTGAGGAGCAAGGAAGCCAGTCCGAGTCCCAAAACCTCAAAAGTAGGGAAGCTGACAGTGCAGCCTTCAGTCTGTGGTTGAAGGTCTCAGAGCCCCTGGCAAGGGAGAAAAATGAAGGGTGGAAGACCGCTAGTCTAGTCCTTCTACGGTCCTCTGCCTGCTTTTATCCTAGTGGTGCTGGCAGCTGATTAGATGGTGCCCACCCAGATTGAGGGTGGGTCTTGCTTCTCCCAGTCCACTGACTCAAATGTTAATCTCCTTTGGCAACACCCTCACAGACACACCCAGGAACAATACTTTGCATCTTTCAATTCAATCAAGTTGACACTCGATATTAACCCATCACCTAGGTTAAGATAGAGTACCCAAGAAGGAGCCTTCTCCAGTTTTCTTTCCAAGGGTGAGGTCAGACCTTGTTAGGGAGGCACTTCCATGGCTCACTGAATGGCAGAGAGGTAGTTGTTGAACTGCTGCTCCAGCGGTAGTTTGCTGTAATCCACCCTCTGGGACTTGTCAGAAATCCTTCCTCTAGGGTGTTGGGGAAAGCTGTTCCTGTAAGGTTCATGGAAGTGGGGTGGTGGTGGTCACTCTCTGCTGTAAAACTGCTAAAGGGGGTGTGCATGCCTGACGAAGCTGCTGGGCGTTGCTGGCTGCTCTACACTGCAAAAGCTGGGTGCTGAGGAAGCCGCAAGAGTCTGATGTTGTAGAAGCCAGGTGAGAACTTGCCAAAATTAATGACAGACAACGAATCACCGATTACAAATCTAGGAGAATACCAAGCAGGATTAAAAAAACAAAAACAACCTACACTTAAGTATATTATATTTAAACTTTAAAAAGTTGAAATACATAAATACTGTTTAGAAAAGCAAAGAAGGGTGAGAAAAGTACAAGTTATTACATTTTATGTATTTCTTAAAAATGGATATAACAGGTAGATATTTGTTGATATGTATTACAAAAGTTGGACAACATAGTCATGAAATATATTTAGATACTTTAAATACATATATTACACAAGGGAAGAAATAAAGTACTACTCAAATCAATAAGAAAGAGTTAAATAACCTAATAGCAATGTTGGAAAGTAGGTGAACAGGCAATTCACAGAAGAACTCAAATGGCAAATAGCGTATGCAAAGATGGTCAACTTTCTCTACAATATTTGACACAGAAACATTATGTCATTTCAGTTTAAATATAATTACACATTCACAAAAATTGGGGAGCACACCTTTGAAGGGTTACTAATAAATTGTCTAGAAACATTGTTCTAAAAGCTGATGTGGTTTTGGAAGACCAAGTGTGAATATTCAAAGGCACTTTCATTTGTTGAGCAAAACACCAAGTGGAGAAATTGAAGATCCCTGATTGCGAAAGGATCCAAGTGTTTAGAGCAGAACTGAAATCCCGAATAATGGTCCTCTCCATGTAGCAGGCAGAGAATGTGACTAGTGGAAAACAGAGGTTTATGTAAACAAAAGCAGCCTAGATTTGGACATCAAATTCATCAATTAATGTATCCATTCATTTGTCAAATAATTATTTAGCTCCTACTAAGTGCTATGTACTATTCCAGATAAAATAGTCAGCAAGGTAAAAATGTCCCTACCTTTATGAGTTTTAATTCTAGCAGGAAAGAAAAAATAATCACATAATAAACAGATATGCAGTATTAGGTGGTGATTCTTGCTATGAAGATACAAACGAAGAAAGCTGAGTAAGGGGATAGAGAAACAAGGGCTTACCAGTAGTAAATTTCCATGCAAACTGTGGCAGGCTAATTTCAAAATCAGAAATATTTTATTATAGTTTTTCTTGGGTTATTAGTGTCAGACATAAGAAAAGTGCAGTAGATTTACTACCACAGATTTTTGCACTTGTACTTATTTTGAATGAAATGTACTGTCAAAGAACGAAGCAGGTGGACTGGGCTTATATCCTGTCTCCTTGTAGTAGAGAATATTGAGTCTGATGTGCAGACCAGCAGATCCTTTGTGTATCACCTGCACCACTCCCTCATCCCCTCCATAAGCTCACATCAGGAGTAGCTATGTTCATGTACTGTAATGTGAACTCATCCCCTGGCAACACTTTACTGGTGTACAGTAAGCAACTGACTGGTCTAGGAAAAGAAGCCCTAGGGCAAAGGAGAGATGAATTGAGAACATCTTGGCAGGGACCATTTTGTACTATGTGAATCTGAAAGCAGAGATATAGAAAATAATGAAGATGACAGGCAGAGAAAATTAGAGATAAGAAATACACAGAGGATTTCTTGTATAACACACAGTGTACTATCCTTAGATCAATCCTTTTACATATCTTCTTTGGCTTCTGTGAGTTAGCCCTTTGTTATGATAACAAATTTTATCTTTTTGATGAATCTAACTCAGCCACTTGTGTTCCCCATGATGACATGCTCTCACGATGGCTCTGATTTATTTAACATACAGATGAAGATCATGAGTGTGGATTTCCGAAATGCAGTCAGTGGACTCAATTACTGTTTGTTGAGTCCATGAGCAGATATGACTAACAAAGATCTGTGCATATGGGGATTGAAGGGTTTTTTTTTGTTTTTGGATAGAGTTGGTGAAGAAATTAAATGAAAGTATACGATATTCCATGGCCAAGAATTTCAAATAATAAAGTGTTTATATGAGATGTTTGGGCTTTAATATGGGAAGTATGTGTATGGGATGTGTGGGCTCTAATTTGTTTAAATTGTGTTTATTACTAATATTTGTGGGCACATAGTAAGTGTATATATTTATGAGGTACATGAGATGTTTTGAAAAAAAGGATGCAATGTGAAACCAGTAAATCATGAAGAATGGGCATCCATACCCTCAAGCATTTATCCATTGAGTTGCAAACAATCCAGTTACACTCTTGAAGTTATTTTAAATGTATAGTTACTATTTACTATAGTCGTCCTGTTTTGCTATCAAATAGTAGATCTTGTTCATTCTTTCCAATTTTTTCCCATCAACCATCCCCATATCCCTCCCTCCCTGATCCCCCACTACCTTTCCAACCTCTGGTAATCATCCTTCTACTCTCTATGTTCATAAATCCAATCATTTTAATTTTTAGATCCTACAAATAACTAAGAACATGTGATGTTTGTCTTTCTGTGCCTAGCTTATTTCACTTATGGAACTGCCATGCCGGTTGCTGCAAATGACTGGATCTCATTCTTTTTTATGGCTGAATAGTACTCCATTATGTATATGTGCCACATTTTCTTTATCCATTCAACTGTTGATGGATACTTTGATATACTGACTTTTTTTTTCTCTTCAGTATATACCCAGCAGTGGGATTGCTGGATCATATGAGAGCTCAATTTTTAGTTTTTTGAAGAACCTCCAAACTGTTCTCCATAGTAGTTGTACTAATTTACATTCCCACCAATAGTGTCCAAGTGTTCTTTATTTCACATCCTTCCCAGCATTTGTTATTGCCTGTCTTTTGGATATCAGCCATTTTTAACTGGAGTGAGATGATACCTCATTGTAGTTTTGATTTGCATTTTTCTGATGATCAATGATGTTGAGCACTTTTTCATATGCCTGTTTGTCATTTGTATGTCTTATTTGTATGTCTTGAGAAACATCTATTCAAATCTTTTGCCCAACTTTTGATTGGATTATTAGTTTTTTCCTATAGAGTTGTTTGAATCCTTATATATTCTGGTTATTCATCCCTTGTCAGATGGGTAGTTTGGAGATATTTTCTTCCATTCTGTGGGTTGTCTCTTCACTTTGTTGATTGTATCCTTTGTGTTCAGAAGCTTTTTAACTTGATGTAATCCCATTTGTCCATTTGTGCTTTGGTTGGTTGTGTTTGTAGGGTATCACTCAGGAAATTTTTGCCAAGACCAATGTCCTGGAGATTTTCCCTAATGTTTTCTTGTAGTAGTTTCACGGTTTGAAGTCTTAGATTTAAGTCCCTAATCCACTTTGATTTGATTTTTGTATATGATGAGAGAAAGGAATCTAGTTTTATTCTTCCGCATATGAATATCCAGTTTTCCCAGCACCACTTATTGCAGAGACTGTCTTTTCCCCAGTGTATGTTTTTGGCACTTTTTTTTTTCATTTTGAAATTGTCTGTAGTTTCTTTTTATTTTATTTTATTTTATTATTATTATACTTTAAATTTTAGGGTACATGTGCACAATGTGCAGGTTTGTTACATATGTATACATGTGCTATGTTGGTGTGCTGCACCCATTAACTCATCATTTAGCATTAGGTATATCTACTAATGCTATCCCTCCCCGCTCCCTCCACCACACAACAGTCCCCGGAGTGTGATGTTCCCCTTCCTGTGTCCATGTGTTTTCTTTGTTCAATTCCCACCTATGAGTAAGAACATGCAGTGTTTGGTTTTTTGTCCTTGCGATAGTTTGCTGAGAATGATGGTTTCCAGTTTCATCCATGTCCCTACAAAGGACATGAACTCATCATTTTTTATGGCTGTATAGTATTCCATGGTGTATATATGCCACATTTTCTTAATCCAGTCTATCGTTGTTGGACATTTGGCTTGGTTCCAAGTCTTTGCTATTGTGAATAGTGCCACAATAAACATATGTGTGCATGTGTCATTATAGCAGCACAATTTATAATCCTTTGGGTATATGCCCAGTAATGGGATGGCTGGGTCAAATGGTATTTCTAGTTCTAGATCCCTGAGGAATCGCCAGACTGACTTCCACAATGGTTGAACTAGTTTACAGTCCCACCAACAGTGTAAAAGTGTTCCTATTTCTCCACATCCTCTCCAGCACCTGTTGTTTCCTGACTTTTTAATGATCGCCATTCTAACTGGTGTGAGATGGTATCTCATTGTGGTTTTGACTTGCATTTCTCTGATGGCCATTTTTGGCACTTTTGTCAAAAATGAGTTCACTGTAGGTGTGTGGATTTGCTTCTGGGTTCTCTAGTCTGTTCCACTGGTCTATACATCTGTTTTTATGCCAGTACCATGCTGTTTTGGTTACCATAGCTCTGTAGCATAATTTGAAGTCAGTAATGTGATTCTTCTAGTTTTATTCTTTCTGCTTAGGATGGCTTTAGCTATTCTGAGTCTTGTGGTTCCATACAAATTTTAAGATTTTTTTTTCCATTTCCGTGAGAAATGTCATTGGTTGTTTGACAGTGATTGCGTTGAATCTGTAGATTGCTTTGGGTAGTATGGACATTTTAACACTATTGATTCTTCCAAGCCAAGAACATGGAACATGTTTCCTTTTTTTGTCCTCCTCAGTTTCTTTTATTATAGAGATTTTTCACTTCCTTGGTCAAGTTAATTCCTAGGTATTTCATTTTTGTGTGGCTATTTTAAATAGAATTACTTTTTAAATTTCTTTTTCACATTGTTCACTATTGGCATATAGAAATTCTACTGATTTTATATCCTGGAACTTTATTGAATTTATCAGTTCTAATAGTATTCTTGTGGAGTCTTTAAGTTTTTATAAATATAAGATCATATCCTCTGCAAACAAGGATAATTTGACTTCTTCCTTTTAAATTTGGATGCCATTTATATCTTTCTCTTGTCTAATTGCTCTAGCTAGGACTTCCAGTACTATGTTGAATAACAGTGGTGACAGTGGCATCCTTGTCATGTTCCAGATCTTAGAAAAAAGACTTTCAGTTTTTCCCCATTCAGTATGATACTAGCTGTGGGTCTGTCATATATGGCTTTTATTATGTTGAAGTATGTTCTTTATATCCCCAGTTTTTGAGAATTTTTCACATGAAGCGATGTTAAATTTTATCAAATGCTTTTTTCAGCATCAATTAAAATGATCATTTTATTTTTATCTTCATTGTGTTGATGTGATGTCTCACATTAATTTGTGTATGTTGAACCATCCTTGCATCCCAGCAATAAATCCCACTTGATTGTGATGAATGAACCTTCTGATGTATTGTTTAATTCAGTTTACTAATATTTTGTTGAGGATTTTTGCATTAATATTCATCAGAGATATTGGCCTACAGTGTTTTTTTTTTTAATGTGTCTTTGTCTGGTTTTGGTATCAGGGTAATACTGGTCTCATAGAATGAGTTTAGAAGTATTCCCTCATAAAATACTTGTAGAAGTATTCCCTCCTCCTCTATTTTTTGGAATAATTTGAGTAGGATTGGTATTAGTTCTTCTTTGAATGTTTGGTAGAATTCAGCAGTGAAGTCATCAGGTCCTGGAATTTATTTACTGGTAGACTGTTTATTGTGACTTTGATCTTGTTACTTGTTATTGATCTTTTTAGGTTTTGACTTATTTCCTATTTTAATCTTGGTAGGTTGCATGTGTCTAGGAATTTGTCCATTTCTTCTAGATTTTTCAATTTATAGCATATAGTTTCTCATAGCAGCCACTAATGATCCTTTGAATTTCTGCAGTATCAGTTGTAATGTCTCCTTTTCCATTTATGATTTTATTTATCTGTATCTTCTCTCCTTTTTTCTTAGTTCATCTGGCTAAAGTTTTGTCAATTTTGTTTAACTTTTCAAAAAAGCAAATTTTTGTTTCATAGATCTTTTGTATTTTTTTCAGTTTCATTTATTTCCACTCTGATCTTTACTTTTTCTTTTCTTCAACTAATTTTTGCTTTGGTTCCCGTCTTGCTTTTCTAGTTTTTAAGATGCATCATTAGATTGCTAATTTAAAGTTTCTCCTTTTCTGACGTAGGCACTTAATAGCTATAAACTTCCTTCTTATTACTCCTTTTGCTGTATCCCATGGGTTTTGATATGTTGTTTTCATTGTCATTTGTTTCAATAAATGTTTCAATTTCCTTCTTAATTTCTTCATTGACCCACTAGTCATTCAGGAGCATATTGTTTAATTTCCATGTATTTTTATAGTTTCCCAAATTTCTCTTCTTATTGATTTCCAG
Source organism: Homo sapiens (assembly GCF_000001405.40). Taxonomy (NCBI): domain Eukaryota; kingdom Metazoa; phylum Chordata; class Mammalia; order Primates; family Hominidae; genus Homo; species Homo sapiens. The sequence continues at coordinate 3,990,954 of NT_167247.2, read as the reverse complement.
TTTTATTCCACTGGGTTCAGAGAAGATGCTTGAGCAATTTGAGAGGCCAAGGTGGGAGGATTGCTTGAGCTCAGGAGTATGAAACCAGCCTAGGCAACATAGGGAGACCCGGAAGCAGTTCAAATGGGATTGAAAACCGTGTACCTGTTGCCTGGACTGTAGAGGGCATTGCAAGCCTGGTGGAGGTGAGCAAAGGGAGAGATTAGATAAAGCTGAGTACCCAACTTCCAGAGTTGCATATATCATTGAGACCAATAGTTCCACATACAGATTTCATTTAACACCTGTATTTTTAAAGTCAATCACAATAGACTTGTCAGACCGTCTTAGAATTATAACCAAGAACAGAAGAAAACAAGATCACTTTTATTGTCACTTGGGTGACAGTTGATATTGGGAGGGCTTCAAAGGTATAAATGTAGATATAAATAAAAACATAAACAGATTTAGAGGTTTTAGATCACAGTGAATGTGCTAATTTGTAACTCCTTTTAAATTTAACATATGGTAAACAACTCTATTTTGTCATTAAATATCTTTCTAAAACATTGTTTTGAAGGACTGTATATAATTGTGTCATAGTTTGTTACCTAATTATTTAAATTTTGAGGCCAGGTGAAGTGGCTCACACCTGTAAACCCAGCACTTTGGGAGGCCGAGGAGGGCAGATCACCTGAGGTCAGGAGTTCGAGACCAGCCTGGCCACATGGTGAAACCCTGTCTCTACTAAAAATACAAAAATTAGCCAAGCGTGGTGGCAGGTGCCTGTAATCCTAGCTACTCGGGAGGCTGAGGAGGGAGAATCGCTTGAACCCAGGAGGCGGAGGTTGCAGTAAGCCAAGATCGAGCCATTGCACTCCAGCCTGGGGGACAAGAGCAAGACTTTGTCTCAAAAAAAAAAATTTTTTTTTTTTTGAGTACAGATGGGAATTGACTGAAAGCATTTTTACTGAATTGTTGGTTCTCAACTCCCCTCCTACTCCTACATCTTGGTTCTACTTCCCAACTACAAAATGGAAAGTTTCCTTTTTGGATATATGAGTACACAAAAAAGGAGAATCTTCACATTATGGTGTGTCCAGTCTCTTTTTACATTCCATTTTGTTTTTATTTTATAGAGGTAATATTTTTATAGCCTCATGTAGATTTTTTCATTTTAGTTTGTAAAAAGAACAATGAGAACACTTGGACACAGGAAGGGGAACATCACACACATGCGGGCCTGTTGTGGGGAGGGGGAAGGAGGGAGGGATAGCATTAGGAGATATACTTAATGTAAATGACGAGTTAATGGGTGCAGCACACCAACATGGCACATGTATACATATGTAACAAACCTGCACGTTGTGCACATGTACCCTAGAACTTAAAGTATAATAAAACATATATATTAAAAAAATTAAAAAAAAATAAATAAGTCAGCCACTGCACCTGGGCAACTATTCTGCTCAAAAAAAAAAAAAAAAAGTAAGCTTAAAGAAAACTTGCAATAAGAATAGTATTTTGTACTTATATATTTTTTTTTCTGAAATTGCACTCATCAGAACTCTTTATCCTTAAGTACTTCAGTATTTCCTAAGAAAAGGATACATTCTTGTACATAACCAGAATATAGCTACCAACTTCATTAAATTTAATTTTAATAATCTAAACTGTTTGAATTCTCATTGTCACATGAATTTTGTTTGAAAATACAAGCCCAAAATTACACTCCCGTCTCTGAACATGTCATGTTTCTTAAATCATTTATGTCTTTATGCTGCATGGTAAATTTTTGTAATTAAAACACTGTATTTTTTTGTGGAATTTATTCCTTAAAATTTTATATTTCTACTGGCAGTTTGAATGGTAATTTATCCTACATTCTCTCACCCTTCCCATCTCCCCCTGCTACTATATATTTTATTTGTGCTTCTTAGTAGCTTGGACTGCCGGAGACAAGTGACTCTGCCTCATCATATGCTTCTCATTGGTTGGAGAGATACATATTCATTACTATTAGTTATTTCTTCTAACCAGAGCTTCTGCAAAGCCCCTTTATCATTATCCTTTCTCTTCAATCACAATCTTGCCTAGTAACCTTTTCCATACCCAGATAGTTCCTTTCCTCCTGCAAGAACTAAGCGTATGTAAGTCTTCTCATTTGTTACCTAGTTCACTTTTCTTCACATGTGAGGATCCTGGATACTATTAAGATGCCTTCACTACTGACTGGATCTTGGAAAAATATGCTTTGTTTCCCTACAAAATATATTTCCTTTTAAGCTCTCAGTAAATTTGGAAATGATCTACCTATAGATTAGTCCTCTGGTATTAACTAGTATCATTATTCTGGCTGTAAAAGATAACTGTTCAAACTATTTACAGGTTAGATTATCCAGGGGATATAGTTTAGAGCACCCATATAATTTTCAATAGATTACTTGATTTAAAAAGAACCTATCAAGTTAATGTTTCGAAGAAATTGATAATTTCTTTTAGAGGTTTCTCTGAGAAAATACAAGCAGACAGGCAGTCCATATTAACAGGCTGGGTCTAGAGTTATATAGTCTGAGCGAGGACATGGGATGTTGAGTTGAGTCCAGAGACAGGCCATATGCAGAGAACCAGAACAATGTTTCAAAATCTGCAAATGGCTGAGTCTGGGTATTTCCTGTGTGAAGGAGGATGCCAGAAATGAGCAACCAAAACCTTAACAGAGACTGAAAACACATCCCAAAGTAGGAGGCAAAATACATCCACCTTCCAGGCAGCATACCCAGGCCTGATACACATGTTAGAATGGGTTCTAGACATGGGACAACAGGATAAAAATGTCAGTAAAATCATGGGAAAGATTAAAGTGAAAAATATTATAATATAAAGGTCCATACATCTCATTAATTTTAGTAAATGCAAATAGACTAAACTTGTGACCAGAAGACAGAGACTGACAAATTGAATGCAAAAACATAAATTCAGGTTATACTGTTTACAAGACACATACCTAAAGCATAAAAGTCATTTCAGAGATTAAGTGTAAAACATAGAAAGGACATATTATGCAAAAACTAATTCTAAGAAATGGTGTTTATTTATTAATGTCAAAAACAAATTTTAAGGAAAAAGATATCGTAGGACAGAAAGACTCATATAATGATAAACATTCACCTAGTCAAGGAAAACATAGACTGGTCACAGGGGCTCACACCTGTAATCCCAGCACTTTGGGAGGCTGAGGCAGGTGGACCGCTTGAGCTTATGATTTCGAGACCAGTCTGGGCAACATAGCGAAAACTTGCCTCTGCAAAAAACAAAAATTAGCTGGGCATGGTGGTACGTTGTCTGTAATCCTAGCTACTTGGGAGGCAGAGGTGGGAGGATGGCTTGAGTCCAGGAGGCGTAGGTTGCAGTGAGCCGAGATTGCACCACTGCACTCCAGCCTGGGCGATAGAGCCAGACTTTGTCTAAAAAAAGAAAAGAAAAGAAAAGAAAAGAAAAACATAGCAGCTATAAGTATAGGTACATCTAATAAAATATCCTCAAAGACATGAATCAAAATTAATATAATATTTAGGTAGAAAGCAATAAATCTACCATTTATAGTATGATATTTTAACATACATTTCTGGGCTCTTTATAAGTCAAGAAGGCAAAAGTAGGATATAAAAGATCTAAACAACACAATTAGTAAGCTTGACTTAATAGACTTGAATATATTATAAAGTTATTGTCTATGTTCTCATCTATGTGCCAGGTGGTAGATTCACCAGTGCCTATTACATTATTGAAAACAAACAAAAAACAAATTAAAAATAATAAACTAGCCGGGTGCAGTGGCTCACAACTGTAATCCCAGCACTTTGGGAGGCAAGGTGGGTGAATCACCTAAGGTCAGGAGTTTGAGACCAGCCTGGCCAACATGGTGAAACCCTGTCTTTACTAAAAAAAATACAAAAATTACCAGGGTGTGGTGGCATGCACCTGTAATCCCAGCTACTCAGGAGACTGAGGCAGGAGAATTGCTTGAACCTGAGAGGTGGAGGTTGCAGTGAGCCGAGATCACGCCACTGCATTCTAGCCTGGGCGACTGAGCAAGACTCCATTTCCAAAAAAAAAATTAAAATTAAAATTAGAATTAAAAAAATAAATAACTAAGCTTGGACCAATGATGACAGTGAGGAATGCAAATGCATTAGGGTCATTCAAAATCTTTGCACCTTAGATGTATATGCAGGACAGAGAGAGAAGAAGGAGGAGGAGAAGGAAAATAAAAGTCGATGGAAAGAAGGGGAAGGGGAAGGGATATTGGGGTACATTTGACTTTATACAAACAGCCATGACTTTTATTTTAATATACATAGTCCTGAAGTCCACTCAGTGCATGATAAGCTTCCTTCCCAAATCACTCTTGATTATGAACTTCCAAAAATAGGAAAAACCATTCAACTAATGGATTTGAGTTTACAACACCTGATTCTTCCCTTCCAATCTGTGACCACTTTTCTCCTAGTTTCCATGCTCCCCCATCCCAACCACAGTTCTTCCATTTAGTCCTTCATATTTATTTCCCATTCTTCTCTTCCTTGCTCTGTGCTCCCAACAGCAGCTGACCTGTGTGGATTACCTCCTGGCTTCTGGTTTGATATGAGCAATGAAGAACAGAATCAGGGGATCAGAGGAAAGGAAGGAAGTGGGCTAATTTTCTCCACACTCAGTCTCTGGGCAGGTCATGGAAGGCTGGCAGTTTTATTCAACCAGAGGGTCACATATGCTGTCAGGTGACTCTCTCGACACAGCACTCTCTGACTCCAAGGCCCTCTCATCACTCTCTTCCCTCATCTCTTCAGGCTTGAGGGTGTAACAGGACTCCTGTTACCTGCTGTCCCTAGCCCAGGTTACGTCTCTGTCCCTATTGTTTGCCTACACTCTGATGCTCATAGCTTTGTAAATAGAATTTTTATTAAAACTCTCCTCAAATTAGCAAATTTGAGTTTGCCATCCTTTTCCTGCCAGGAACCTGACTGATACAAATTTAAACCCAACTTCCAACTACTTGCCTCCTCCCAAAATGTCCCACTTGCTGTTAGGGCAAAACTTGATAGAAGCATGAAATCCTAATACCCGCTACCAATCATGAGGCCATGTCAGAAAACACCAGTAACTTCTATCTGTAGTGTTCAATAAATGAAGCTCCAGGGTGAGGGATAAAACACTGATAGATGCAGGAGGCAGATAAGCGAGTGGGTCCCTGGAGAATCTCCAACCCACGTGATCACTGGGAGCATGGGGTGGAGCCATGGGAAGTTCCCACTTTGTGCAGAAGGGAGGAGCCTGCCCTCTCCACTTCCTGTGTGGTCGCCTGGTTTTCAATCTGTAAGGTGGAGGCCTGCTAGGAGGACTCCCTCTGGCTTTGCTGAGAGTTCCTCTTTCTTTTTTTCCTTTTCACCCAATAAACCCTGTTCTACTCACTTTTCAATGTGTCTGTGTGCCTAAATTTTCCTGGTTGTGTGACGAGAACCAGGTATTTTCTGCAACAACAGGAATTTAATTTTCAGAGTGGGAAATGAGTGGTAGAAATGCAAGAAATCAGGCGACCCATCAATATTACAGCATGAGATCTTTTGGAGAATACCTCTATCTACATTAAAGACATAAAATGCTAGAAAATTATCACAATAAATTACACATAAAAGCTAAAGATTCAAGAAGGGAGATCTGTAGATGTAAAAAACAAAGAGGGAAATCCCAGCTACAGCTGTGAGTGGAAGCTGAAACATAATATTTCACGAAGATTCTGTTAAGAGGATACAACACATTAAAGAAACTAGAATTATTCTAAGCAGACATGCAGTGATGTGCTGGAGCCAGCTCCTACAAGCTTGCGAGAGTCAATTGTTCTGTGAATTTTCAAATCAGTTGTTAAGCATAGCCATTATTAAAAATTAAATTGTATAAGCTTACAATTAATATTAAAAATAAAAGAGATACATACTAAAAACTCATTACTTCTTAATTATTTTGCCACATGTTACAATTGTTCTAGCTCTTGAGGTCATTTGCATCTACTGTAAATGTGTATTGGAAATGTTATTTAAGGGTGATCTACTGCGTATCTCTTCCCAACTCTGCATTCAGTGAGAGCAGATTGGTAACTTGCAGTTGGCTACAGTGGGAGGATTACACTACGGAAATCACCAAATGTTATGAATCATCTTATTGTTTTGTTGATTTCCTGGATCAGAGGTCAGCAAATTTTTCTTTAAGACCAATAGAAAATATTTTAGGGTTTCAGGTTATACAGTTTATTTCACAACTATTCAGTTCTGTTATTATAGAGCTAAAGCTGCCATAGACAATGTATAATTAAAATAATATGGCTGTGTTCTAATAAAGTTTTATTCATAAAAACAGGTTTCAGGCCCACTGTTTATATGTGGTCCCCTATCCAACCTGTGTTGGGGACCACTGGAGATTGGACTGTGCCTGGAGATGGAGGTCACCAAGTTGAGAACCAGTCTCACAAATGGTCCAGCAGGACTGATGGGTCCTGGGGCTCAAACTCCCAGCTCCAGGAACTCGAACTGCTGTTACTGTGCAGGAGCCCCATATTTGGTATTGGTAAAAGCTTACCTTTCTCCTTCTCCCTCCCTAAGCTCAAACCAGGAAGGTTCTTACACCATTCTCCTTTCAACTGCCTTGATTGTAAAAGTTACAGGTATCAACTGCTGGATACATCACACTTGAGTCAATCTCTGACACAAATCTGAGGAAATCTGAGGAAGCAACCCCTGACAGCCTAGAGAAACGTCCTGGGTATCAATGCGAAGAAATAGGCGATCTTAAGCTAAAAATCATAAAAGTTAAGAAAATGACTGAAGGCTACTCATCCTACTCAGTCCCACCTCTACCTTACCAGATGCTTTCAGCCATTTCTACTTTTCCTCTCAAGATTTGTCGCCAGATATTAGAACTTCTTTTTAATGCGTATTTGCAGGGAGATTTTGATTATCCATGGGATTACATGTGTAACTTCATAGACCTCCAAAGGGAAGTTCTATATCTTGGTAAGTAGAATTTTAGATGGAAATTATCTACTACACCACCCTTACAGGAATTGTTATACTGACTCTACTGTTTGCAGTAGGACTATATACTGTAGCACCCCCACAGTGGAATATCAGACAAAGAATCTCAATTTCCATAGTATTTTGCTTAATTATTATCCTTATAGCAAGGATAATAGTTACCAACAAGAAGTAACCATGAAGGTTTTACTATTACTGAGTCTGGTAGGACTTTTTATTGGGTTTGGTAATATGTCAAATCTTTTAGTTCCTATGATATCAACTGTGGACCCTAGCTATGCAAAGAAGGTTATAAAGAAAAGAGATTTTATATAAGAAAGGATCTTGTACGGTAAATTCTTGTCCTAAAGAAAATAGCTGGTTGTTTAAAAAGAGAGATGTTTAGGACAAGTTACAAAGTTTAAGCATGTTATAGATAGTCTGTGTATGTTGTAAAAGGATTAATAATTACAAGGAAAATTTAGCCAAAGTTAACACTAAAGTTACTCTAGCCACCCAATCCAATGCCACTTATCCTAAAAAGAATGTTATTTTCATATTAACATTTCTGGTAAAGTACAGCAACATCTGGTGGAGGCAAACCAGTATTACAACTCATTGGAATGGCTAGGAGGTATCAAACAAACTCTACTGTCATGTTGTTGCCTATAGCACCCCCACTAATAATGATAATCTCAATACTCATATTCAAACCCTATGTTAGAACATGTTCTAAACCTTCTTGTAAAATTTATCTCATCTCTCCTAGAAGCTATTAAACTCCAAATGGTGCTGCAGACGGAACCACACATGGACACGTCATTCTTCTGAGGACCCTTAGATCAACCCCAGGAGGAGCCCTGGCTGCTGTTCCCCCATGGTGTCCCTTTACAGCAGGAAGTAGCCAGAGAGAGTAATTGTCCAATGCCCCATAACAGCAGTTAGGGTTACCACTTCTGAGGGAGGAAATATGATAAAGGAGCTAAAAAAATTATTTAGGCAGAGGCCAGGCGCAGTGGCTCACACCTGTAATCCCAGCACTTTGGGAGGCCCAGGTGGGTGGATCACAAGGTCAGGAGTTCAAGACCAGCCTGGCCAACATGGCAAAACCCCATCTCTACTAAAAATACAAAAATTAGCCAAGCATGGTGGTGCACACCTGTAATCCCAGCTACTCAGGAGGCTGAGGCAGGAGAATTGCTTGAACCCTGGAGGCAGAGGTTGCAGTGAGCCAAGATTGCACCACTGCACTCCAGCCTGGGTGACAGGGCAAGACTCTATCTCAAAAAAAAAAAAAAATTATTTAGGCAGATAGTGAGGGTAAGAGAGTCCTCAGCATGGTTTCTCTTTTAACAAAACATAGCCTCAAAATCATTTCTTTCCTAACAAAGAGCAGCCAGAAAATAGAGCTGCAGACATAGGAAAGGAAGCTGGAAGCTTGCATGGGTGAATGCTGGCAGCTGTGCCAATAGAAAAGGTGCATTCAATGTGGAGGCTCCATCTCCCCTTCTCTTTGTCACCACGTGTACAGTAAAAAGCAGGCAACATGGCGCCAGCCAGGTAAAGAACCCATCTGCATAATAAAATATTAGGGTGGGTGGCCAGCTTCTTCATGTGCTATGCAAATGGCACACCTGGTCTGACTAATCTTTCGTGCCCTATGTAAATCAGACACCACCTTTTCAAGCTAGTCTATAAAACTCCATGCATTTCACCACAGAACTGGCTACCCATTTTTACCAAGAACTGGCTACCCATTTTTTCCAGAACTGGCTCCCTATTTTTTTCTCTTTCTTTCACCTATTAAACTTCCACTCTTAACCTCACTCTGGTGTGTCCATGTCCTAGTTTTCCATGGCTGTGGGACAATGAACCTCATGTATTACCCCAGACAAGGACACCGCTTCAGCAGGACTGCCACCAAGACTCCAGAACTGTAGAGCTACCAACATGCAATGAGAGCCTGGAAAAGACAAGGCGCCTGACTCTAATCCACGAGAACAGCCACATGTGGGCTGCAACCACCAAAGCCATGGGAGCAGGACTGCCAGAGGCCTTGAGGGCCCAACTCCTGCCCCAGTGTGCTCAGGATGAAGGACATGGACTCAAAAGATATTATTTCCAGCTTTAAAATTGAATGTCTTTCCTGTTGGGTTTCGGACTTCCTTGAGGCCTGTAACTCCTTTCTTCTGGCCTATTTCTCCTGTCTCAGCATTATATCTTGGAGGTAGGTAACTGGTTTTAATTTCACAGGCTCACAGATCGGACGTTTTTTTGGATTTCTGTGTTGATACCAGAACAAGTTAAGACTTTAGGGCTCCGAGGATGGAATGAATGTATTTGCAAAGAAGAAAGATATGAGTTTTGTGGGGAAAGGCAGGGGTGAAAAGCTATGGCTTAAATGTTTGTCCCCTCTGAAACTCATGCTGAAACTTAATCCCCATTGTAACAGTATTCACAGGGTGGAAAATCAGACTATGATATTTCAGGGGCAGAATCTTTTGGAAGGTAATTAGGATTAGATGAGGTCATGAGGATGGAGTATTAAGGCTCGATAACAGAAAGAGATACTTGAGCTAGCCCTCTTTGCTCCCTTGTCATGTGATGCCTTGAACTGTATCAAGACTCTGCAGGGGTTCCCCACAAGCAAGAAGGCACTCACAAGATGCTGGCACCATGCTCTTGGACTTTCAAGCCTCCAGAACTATAAGAAGTAAATTTTAGGTCAGGTGTGGTGGTTCATGCCTGTAATCCCAGCACTTTGGGAGGCCAAGGTGGGTGGATCACTTGAGGTCAGGAGTTTGAGACCAGCCTAGCCAACAAGGTAAATCTCATCTCTACTAACAATACAAAAATTAGCTGGGTGCGGTGGCACATGCCTGTAATTCAGGCTACTCTGGAGGCTGAGTCAAGAGAATCACTTGAATCTGCGAAGTGGAGATTGCAGTGAGCTGAGATTGTGCCACTGCACTCCAGCCTGGGCAACAGAGCAAGTGAGACTCCATTTCAAAAAAAAAAAAAAAGAAATGTTGTTTCTTTATAAATTACTCAGTTTCAAGTATTCTATTATAATCAATGGAAAATGGATTAAGACAGTGAAATCAACATCTAGAATATAAATTCATTGGAGACAAAATTAATTTTATAAAATATTCTGGTGTATACTATATAAGTATATGAAATAAATAAGATGAGTGCAGATAACACTAATAATAATGACTTCATTTTTATTTCTGTCTTGGTGAAGAAGGGGTCCTGTAGGTATAATTAATTATTCTCTTAGGTGTGTCTTCTCAATAACCTGCCAGCAAAGTTAGTTGTGGGTTAAAAAAAACAGCACCCAGCCTTTATAGTTAAATGACTGTAAATTTCATCAGATTCCTGTTCTTCCCTGTCTCTATCCCCAGGGATTCAATGACATTTACATACTTGGTCCCCTGCATAAGATATTAATAAACCCATTTCATGACTCTGTCCGTAGTTATAACTGGACATTCTGTCAAGTTCCTGAGTCTCACACCTCCAGGTCCTGTAATTGCTACGGAGGCACTGAGAATTTGGTCTTTGAACTAACAAGATTTAGATAGGATATTAGACTTGACCTGAGGCTGTAATTGGATGAGACTTTGGGGAGACCTTGGGAAGGGGTGAATATATTTTCCATTTGAGAGTTACCAAACTTACTGGTGGCCAGAGGGGTGAATATGGCAAATAAAATTTGAGGATGGCCCCTAAGAATACCTATTACCTCCTGTTGTACATGCCTTCTAAAACTCATTTGCTTTGACTGTGGGTAGAACCTGCAAATATGATGGAATAATCACTACTGTGATTGGATTGTGTGTTGACCACATTTGGCGTTACAAAAAGGAGATTTTTGTGGGTGAGCATGACCTAATCAGGTGAGCCTTTAAAAGGGACTGAACTTTTCCTAAAGAGGGAGATTGGATGTGAGAAACATTATCTATTGCTGACTTTGAAGATGGAGAGGGCCATGTGGCAAGGACCTGAGAGTGGCCAGTAGGAGCTGACAGTGACTGCTGGCTGACAGCCAACTTGAAAACATGGAATTCAGTCATATGTGGAAATGAATTCTGCCAACAGGCAATGAGCTTGGAAGAGGAACCCAAACTCAGGTGAGAATTACAATGGCTCTGTGACTTGAGTCTTGTGACATCCTAAGCAGAAAGCCCAGTTGAGCTCTGCCTAGACTTCTGACTTAGAAAACTGATATAATAAATGGGTTTTGTTCTAAGCTTCTGCATTTGTACCAGTTTTCTGTGACAGTGGCTAGGAAACTAACACAATATATTTTGCTCATTTAAGGTTTACACGCTGCACTATAAGCACTTTCTTTTAATATAGCGCAATGCTTAAAAATTGATATACATTTCACATATTAACTCTTGATTTTTCATTTAAGTTGTGGTTGTATTTATGATTATTTAAAAATATAGTCTAACAATATTTTTTGTATGGTTTCTTTCTTTTTTGTTACTTTAAATCATTCCAACACTTTTTAATAAAATAAATATTAACATGTATCTTTTTCTATATTTTGAGTTCCTTCTTGATTTACATTTAAACTTTTAATCTAGCTCAATATCATCTCTGTATGTGTGTATGTATGGGCTCTTTTTATTTTCCTACTAAATAACCAATAGACCCAACATCATTTTTAGTAATTTTCCCTCATTCCACTGAATTAAAAGTCTGCTTTTATTATGTACTACATTTTAAAAAATTTATCCAACATAAATTCAGGATAACTTGTTCTGTTCTTGAAAGCAGTTCTAATGTGGCATTCTTTAACAAGCAAGAATAAACTTCCCACTGCACCATTTAAAACACTCCAAACCATTATTGCAATCTCTTGAAAAACATTGAATTAGAATTGTGTTTCTAATACCAAGGAAAATGATTTAAAATTCTCTTAAAATAGCTTTTTCTCCTAAAAATTTCACCTGAGAATGTCTTCAGTCACCAGAGTTTCCTCACCACTATGCTGCTTTCTCTTCCATTCCATATAGGTGCCATGCTGTTCAAGTATGTTTCAAAAACTTGCCTCCTAGCCCCTTATATCTCACCGACTTCCAATCCTCATTAGCTACAGTCCTTTACCCCACAAACCTGGATTAACTCCAAAAGAGTGGAATGGGTTCTTCTGTGCCTCAAAGAAATGAAGAATATAAACTATAACACTGGAAGCTTCTTTGAAATATGTTTATGTCCCATCCCAAAATTTTCTCAAAGGTTCACCAACTTCTAGAAATATAATATAGTAGCCCCACCTTATCCATGGTTTCACTTTCCATAGTTTCAGTTATCTGTGGTTTATCACAGTTTGAAAATAGGGGAGTATAGTACAGTAAGACATTTTGAGAAAGAGAGAGGGACCCCATTTACTTAACTTTTATTACCGTATATTGTTATAATTGTTCTATTTTATTATTAGTTTTTGTTTATCTATGACTGTGAATAATTTATAAGTTACACTTTATCATAGGTATGTATGTGTATGAAAACACACAGTTCATATAGGGTTTGGTACAATCTGTGGCTTCAGGAATCTACTGTGGGATCTTGCAATGTATCCCCCGTGAATAAGGGGGGACTACTATAAATACAATTTTGATCTCATTAATCATAACATAAATTTGGATCTGCTTCTGTGCAGTCAATGTTGTTCCACAGTTGTCTTTTTTTTTTTTTTTGGTGGCAGTATAAACATGTTTTAATTGTTTAGCTTTATAATTATTTGTAAGCATCTACTAGAGCAACTCCCCCTGATTTTTATCAATAGCTATTTTATATATTTATTACTCTTGAAAAAAATTAGAAACATTTTGTTAACAAAACTATCTTATTGATATTTAGATTAAAGCATCACAAAGTCTATGCACTTTGGAAAACTGACACAAATTGTCTTGTTCAAGAATGTGATACTTTTATTTATCAAACTTTTCTCTCCTTAAGTAAATTTCTATTCTTTTCTGTGTATTGCACACATGACTAGTAGACTGCTTTGATATTTTCTATGTTTATTGCTCTTTTAAGTAATTTTTTTTTCTGTAACAGACTTACTGGCTTAGTCTGCCAGAGACAAATGATGTTGCTTCACTTCTTCTCATTGGCTGGAGAGGAAAGTACTTAGTGGTTTAACTTAATCACAACTTTTGTGAATCTTTTTTTTTTTAAAGCAGCATCCCGTATTTGGTTACACTCTGGTCTAGTAACCACTTCCTTTGAGCAAGACAACCTTCTCCACCTTCAAGAGCCAGGCATGTGATTAAAAAAATTTTCCTTTGTGGTCACTTAGTTATTATTCTTCTTGCTTTGAGTGTTTGGGCTGCTAGTTTCATGTATTCACTTTCAACTAAAGCTGTTCTTTACAACTTGTTACAGTAAGTTTTGATTCACAGAATATTTTAGGCTCATCTACAATATAATAATTTCCCACAAATGTAAAGAATATAAGTTTGTACAGTTCTAAATATCAGTAAAACAGCATGGAGCAGAGTGCTCATATTTAACTTTAAAAAAGGTAGTGTTTCCATAGGCACTTTCAGGATAATAAGAATTGATTTGATTGATATAGACTTATGGGACAATATGTGAGAATCAGGCTCTGCTCTAAAGGATAGGAGAAAGGCGGGCAGGGAGGACTTAATACGGTTTGAATTCCAGACACACAACCTAGTTGCCTAATTTGGCCTCATCCACCACCTTAAATATTTTCGTGAGATTCTGTCTTACATCTCTGGTAATACTAAAACAAAAAATGAGGACCGTTTCAAGTAAGTCTAGCTCAGGAGAAACCATTAAAATTTTTATATTCTCCGTTTAATTTTTTCTACAATTATTATTTCTCCTTTTTATATTAATTAGAATAGGTGAGACTGCTACAATAACTAGGCTTGAAAGTGTATGACGGCTGAAATACCGTAGAAGTTTATAACTCACTAATGTAACAGTAGGAAGAGACCGATGATTTGTGAGTAGCTCTTCTCCAGTTGGTGATTCTGGGATCCAAGTTGCCATACTCCAATATGGTGCCTCTCTTTTTTTTTTCCTGTGAAAATTAACATACTTTATTTTTTCTTCAAATAGGGAGGTCAGAAAGAGTGGCCAATTGTGATCTAGAAGATTAAGGCAAGATGGTTAGTGAAATTTGCTACAGTGTCCACTATGTTGTCATTATGGCTGTAACTAATATTCATCTCCCTCTGTCACAAGCCGCTCCTGATTCCCCTTATGCTCTGAATTTAGTATAGTTTGTTTTTTTGTTTTTGGGTGACAGAGACAACTATTCCAGAAGGGTCTATACTGTTATTTACCCTGTCCTTGCTGAATTATGATTGTTTTAGTGTCTACTGATAGTCATTACCGTGCATAAAAGTACTAAAAGATTATCATTGTATTTCCTCTAATTTGTTCCTGAGGCATCTCTCATGAGAATGGCTATCAACTGTAGTCCTTCTCTAATGAAGGGAAAAGAAATATGCATGGGCTCAACAACCAGGACTACAGTCAAGAGTCAACAAGGATTATCTTCTTAATAGTATTGCTGCCATCCTGCCAGCAGTAGAGGATGACACTGAATTCACCATATGGCCCCATTACTTGAGGAGATCAGCCAGCCAACTGGTGTCAGGTTGACTGTATCAAAACCTTCCACCTTGGAGGGGAAGTGATTTATTCTTTCTGGAATTAGTATACACTTTGGATATGGATTTGCTAGTCTCACCCACATTGCCTCCAAAACCACTGCCATTCAAACACTCATGGGATTCTATGTTTAATATTGCTCAAAACTACAAAACCCATTTAGTAACAAAGAAGATGTAGCAATGGGATAATGATATATACCCCATTACCTAGATGTAGCAGTCCAGAAGAATAATTGAATGGTGCTGGCTGGAAGACACTGCCCTCTAGGATGTTGTCTTTGACTGTTTGTGTTGCTATAACAAAACACCACAGACTGGATAAATTACAAAGATCATAATTTTATTTTCTCACAATCCTGGAGGCTGGAAAGTCCAAGATCAAGGTACTGGCATCTAGTAAGGGCCATCTTGCAGCGTCTTCACATGGCGGAAAGTGAACCACATGGTGGAAGGTGGAAGGGAAAGGAAGCACTCCCTTCAACCTTGAGTCCTTTTATAAGGGCCCTAATCCCATCTTTGAGGGTCATGTCCTCATGACTTAATCATCTCTTAAAATGATCACATTGGGGACAATAGGGTTAGGTTTTAATATATGAATTTTGGAATTTTGAATCATGTGGTTTGTTGAATTGTCTTCTTTCTGTCTTACCTAACTGACACATTCAAATTTAACTTCTTTCCCAGACAGAGCTGTCCCAGAGAGTGAAATTTTGGCAGGAATAAACTGGACACAGGTCAGGCTGAGCCACAAAAATGTCTTCTAGTATAAACAAGTTTCCTGTGAGAGGGGCACTTGGTTACAGGTCAGACACTTAGGCATTAGACCATCTTCCAGAATAAAGAAGCATCCCATGAAGGTACATTGTAAACTCCACACCCAAATTCCCTAGAGCTCCAGCACAGCAAAACTAGTTTATAGCTGTTCTCATGAGGGAGACTTCAAGACCAAATTAGATGAAAATACAGTAGACACTGAAACAATTATAATCCATCAAGGAGAATATAAACAAGAGCATAAATCCTTCTGGGATTGTAGTCTCTATCACCAAACCAGAACCACCAACTAGTTTTTAAACCTGCTGCAGTCTAGTTTCAAATTTACTACTTCAATTGCATGATGGATTGTGGTTGGTATGCCCAAACTTATGATTCTATGAATCTTATAACTCTCAGCATCATATGGACAATTTAAGTCACATGGTCACAGTGTGTTAAGTGTCTAGCAGGAAGAAATGCACACTAGGTTGTAGTTTTAGAACACATGAGTTCCTGCAAAATTACTGTTAGAGAAGTTTTCCAGTGGGGTTATAATCTGGAACATGTAATATGAATGAAGTGATCAAGAATTTGACTTGTGACTTACACTTTAGATCATGATATAATAATTGGTGTCGTCAATACTTTGTATGTCCCAGACAGCTTTCTTGAGCCTTAGGGGACTGACTCACAATGGAGCTGAGGCTTCTTCTGTCCCTTGCTACTGATCTCTAAGTAATAAACCTGCTTCACATAACTTGTGTGTGGGCATGTTCTATTTCATCAGACTCAGATAATAGGTAACCAGTGCATGGTGGACCTAAACAGTAGCTCAGGATGCAGTGGAAAGAAGTATCTGGACTTCTTTTCCTAGTGGTTGGCATAGTAGTGATCTTTGCTATTCTCCACACAGTGGGGGTCCTCCTTTGGGATTGGTAATTAGTAAACCTGCTTCATAAACTGTGATTAATATACTAAAATCTCTTACGGAAAAGTGGACAACATGCTAGATTAGATAGGTAATTTCGGCAGAGATGGAAAATCTGAGAAAGAATAAAATTGAAATAAAATAAAAATACATTAACAAAAATAAAAAATACATTTGACAAACTCATCAGCAAACTTGACACAGCCCTGGGAAGAATCAATGAATTTGAAATAGATCAATAAAAATTATTCAGTGTGAAACACAAAGAGAAACAAACAGTAAAAGTAAATTTAAAAAATAGGTCAAGTGTGGCAATCCCAACAGTTTGGGAGGCCAGGGCTGGAGGATTGCTTGAGCCCAGGAGTTTGAGACCAGTCTGGGTAACATGGGGAGACATCATCTCTACAAAACATACAAAAATTAACTGAGTGTGGTGGTATAAACGTGTAGTCCCAGCTACTCGAGAGGATGAGGCGGGAGGATCACTTAAGCCCAGGAGGTCAAGGCTGCAGTGAGCCGTGACTGCACCACTGCACTCCAGTCTGGGCAACAGAGTGAGACCTTGTTTAAAAATAGATAAATAAATAAGTGTTTAACACTTTTCAGGCAAAAATATAGTATCATTCGATACGGTACTACAGCTTGTGGATGCTCTGTTTTGTTTTTATTCCCCACTCTTCTTTTCTCTTTGTATTTCACTTTGGAAAATTTTTATTAGGTACCTTATTGAATTGGTTTTCTTTTTAAATAAACATATTATTTTGGTTGACTTTATTTTTCAATGTTGTATTTTGAAATAATTATAGATTCGGAGGAAGTTACCAAGATAGTACAGAAAGATTCTCTATACCCTTCATCCAGTTTTCCCCAATTGTCACATCTTATATAACTAAAGTACAATATCAAAACCAGGAAATTACCCTGACATATATTGTCAAGCGATTTTCAACAAGGGTGTAAAGGCCATTAATTGAGGAAAGGACAGCCTTTTCAACAATGGTGCTGGGAAAACTGAAGTCCACACACAAAAGAATGAAATTGGATTCTTACCTTAGATCATAGACAAAATGAACTCAAAATGAATCAAAGACCTAAATGTAAAACTTAAAACTATCAAACTATTAGAAAAAAACATAAAGGAAAATCTTCATGACATTTGATTAGGCTATGATTTCCTGGACATAACACCAAAGACATAGAAAAGAAAAGAAAATATAGATAAATTGGACTTCATCAAAATTTAAAACTTCTAACTCAGGAAAGGAAAAACAAATGCCGTATGTTCTCACTTACAAGTGGGAGCTAGGCTATGGGTACACAAAGGCATGCAGAGTGGTAAAATGGACACTGGAGACTCAGAAGAGGGGAGGATGGGATGGGGGTGAAGGATAAAAAACTACATATTGAGTACAATTTATGCTACTTGGGTGACAGGTGCACTAAAATCTCAGGTTTCACAACTATACAATTTATCCATGTAACAAAAAGTCATTTGTACCTCAAAAACTATTTATATAAAAAATATTAAAAATATTTTAAAATTATTATTATTATCTACTATGTGTTCAACACTATTTTTGGTGCTTTATATTTGCCATTTCATTTAATCCTCAGCATTACTCCATGGAATAAATATTCTCATTTTGCAGTTGAAGGAACTAACACTCAGAGAGATTAACTTGGATTTATGAGCAATGTCTGCATTATAAAGTAGAGGCAAGGAGACCAGTCAGGATGCTTTTGCAGTAATTCACTTGGGTTGAATTGTTGGTCTTTGAAAATAGAAAGTGAAACTCTTGGAAAGATTCTACAATGTTATTGCTTTTGTCCCAAATGGCACATTACAGAAATCAATTAATTTAGTTGAATGGCAACTATATGGACAAACATGTTCCTATTACTCTTCTATATCATGTCTTGAACTTTCTCTTTAATAAATGTGACATAAAAACTTTAAAACTTCTGTGCACGAAAGGACAGTGTCAATAGAGTAAACATGGTAATCAACAGAATGAAAGAAGATATTGACAAATAGCATATCTCATAAGAGATCAATATCCAAAATATGGTCAGGCACGGTGCCTCATACCTGTAATCCCAGCTACTTGGTAGGCTAAGGCAGGAGCATTACTTAGGCCCAGGAGTTCAAGACCAGCCTAGGCAAGTAGGCAAGATAGAAAGACACTGTCTCTTAAAAAAAATCCAGGATTTGTAAAGAACTTCTAAAACTCAACAATAAAAAAAACAAGGGAAGGGCCAAGAATGCTGATTAGAAGTAGCTCTGGTCTGTGGCTCCCACTAAGGAGAATGGAAACAGTGAGTGAACCCTGTACCTTCCACTGAGGTATCCAGGTTTTCTCACTGGTATTGACTAGGCAGTTGGCACAACCCACGGAGAGTGAAGAAAAGCAGGGTGGAGCAACAGCCCACCCGGAAGTCGCAAGGGGTAAGGGAACTTCCACCCCTAGCCAAGGGAGGTGGTGAATGATTGTGCTACCCCACCAGGGAAATCAAAGTTGGAGACATCATGCTACCTGACTTCAAACTATACTACAAGGCTGAAGTAACCAAAACAGCATGGTACTGGTACAAAAACAGACCAATGAAACAGAACACAGAACTCAGAAGTAAGACCACACATCTACAACCATCTGATCTTCAAAAATCCTGATTAAAACAAGCAATGGGGAAAGGATTCCCTATTTAATAAATGGTGCTGGGAGAACTGCCTAGCCATATGCATAAAGTTGAAACTGGACCCCTTCCTTACACCTTATACAAAAATTAACTCAAGATGGATTAAAGACTTAAATGTAAAACCTAAAACTATAAAAACCCTAGAAGAAAATCTAGGCAACACCATTCAGGACATAGACATGGGCAAAGACTTCATGACAAAAACATCAAAAGCAATTGCAACAAAAGCAAATACTGACAAATGGGATCTAATTAAACTAAAGAGCTTCCAGACAGCAAAATAAACTATTTTCAGAGTGAGCAGGCAACACACAGAATGTGAGAAAAATTTTGTAACCTATCCATCTTAAAAAGGTCTAGTATCCAGAGTCTACAAGGAACTTAAACAAATTTGCAAGAAACAAAAAACATTAAAAAGTGAGCAAAGGACATTAACAGACACTTCTCAAAAGAAGACATTTATGTAGCAAACAAACATATGCAAAAAGCTTAACATCACAGATCATTAGAGAAATGCAAATTAAAATCACAATGAGATACCATCTCATGCCAGTCAATATGGTGATTATTAAAAACTCAAGAAACAACAGATGCTGTCGAGGCTTCAGAGAAAAAGAAACACTTTTACACTGTTGGGGGGAATGTAAATTAGTTCAACCATTGTGGAAGACAGTGTGGCAATTCTTCACAGACCTAGAACCAGAAATACCATTTGACCCAACAATTCCATTACTGAGTGTATTAGTTCGTTTTCATGCTGCTGATGAAGACATTACCAAGACTGGGAAGAAAAAGAGGTGTAATTGGACTTACAGTTCCACATGACTGGGGAGGCCTCAGAATCGTGGTGGGAGGCAACAGGCACTTCTTACAAGGCAGTGGCAGGAGAAAATGAGGAAGAAGCAAAAGCAAAAACCCCTGATAAACCCATCAGATCTTGTGAGACTTATCCACTGTCATGAGAATAGCACAGGAAGGACCGGCCCCCATGATTCAATTACCTCCTCCTGGGTCCCTCCCACAACACGTGGGATTTCTGGGAGATACAATTCAGGTTGAGATTTGGGTGGGGACACAGACAAACTATATTATTCTTCCCCTGGCCCCTCCAAATCTCATTTCCTCACATTTCAAAACCAATCATGCCTTCCCAACAGTTCCCCAAAGTCTTAACTCATTTCAGCATTAACCCAAAAGTCCATAGTCCAAAGTCTAATCTGAGACAAGGCAAATCCCATCCATTTATGAGCCTGTAAAATCGAATGCAAGCTAGTTACTTTTTAGATACAATGGGGGTACGGGTATTGGGTAAATACAGCCATTCCAATGGGAGAAATTGGCCAAAACAAAGGGGTTACAGGGCCCATGCAAGCCTGAAATCCAGCGGGGCAGTCAAATTGTTTTATTTTATTATTTTTTTTAATTTTTATTTATTTATTTATTTGAGACGGAGTCTCGCTCTGTTGTCCAGGCTGGAGTGCAGTGGCATGATCTCTGCTCACTGCAGCTCCACCTCCCGGGTTCATGCCATTCTCCTGCCTCAGCCTCCTGAGTAGCTGGGACTACAGGAACCCGCCACCACACCCGACTAACTTTTTTGTATTTTTAGTAGAGACGGGGTTTCACCGTGTTAGCCAGGATGGTCTCAATCTCCAGACCTTGTGATCCACCCACCTCAGTCTCCGAAAGTGCTGGGATTACAGGCATGAGCCACCGCGCCCAGCCGCAGTCAAATTTTAAAGCTCCAAAATGATCTCCTTTAACTCCAGGTCTCACATCCAGGTCATGCCAATAGAAGAGGTGGGTTCCCATGGTCTTGGGCAGCTCTGCCTCTGTGGCTGTGCAGGGCACAGCCTCCCTCCTGGCTGCTTTCAGGGGCTGGCTCTGAGTGTCTGTGGTTTTTCCAGGCCCACAGTGCAAGCTGTCAGTGGAGCTACCATTCTGGGGTCTGGAGGATGGTGGCCCTCTTCTCACAGCTCCACTAGGCCGTGCCTCAGTAGGGTCTCTGTGTGGGGGCTATGACCCCACATTTCCCTTCCACACTGCCCTAGCAGAGGTTCTCCATGAGGTCCCTGCCCCTGAAGCAAACTTTTGCCTGGGCATTTGGGCATTTCCCTACATCTTCTGAAATCTAGGTGGAGGTTTCCAAACCTCAATTCTTGA
The DNA here is from genome assembly GCF_000001405.40 of Homo sapiens. Classification (NCBI taxonomy): domain Eukaryota; kingdom Metazoa; phylum Chordata; class Mammalia; order Primates; family Hominidae; genus Homo; species Homo sapiens. The sequence goes on along the minus strand of NT_167247.2, from coordinate 3,969,694 downwards.
CTTCTGTGCACCCAGAGGCTCAACACCACATGGAAGCTGCCAAGGCTTGGGGCTTCCACCCTCTGAAGCCACAGCCTGAGCTGTACATTGGCCTCTTTCAGCCATGGCTGGAACAGCTGGAACACAGGGCACCAAGTCCCTAGGCTGCACACAGCACAGGGACCCTGAGCCTGGTCCACAAAACCACTTTTTCCTCTTGGGCCTCTGGTTCTGTGATGGGAGGGGCTGCTGTGAAGGTCTCTGACATGGCCTGGAGACATTTTCCCATGGTCTTGGGGATTCATATTAGGCTCCTTGCTACTTACGCAGATTTCTGCAGCTGGTTTGAATTTTTCCTAAAAAATGGATTTTTCTTTTCTACTGCATCACTAGACTGCAGTTTTTCTGAACTGTTATGCTCTGTTTCCCTTTTAAAACAGAATGCTTTTAACAGTACCTAAGTCACCTCGTGAATGTTTTGCTGCTTAGAAATTTCTTCTGCCAGATACCCTAAATCATCTCTCTCAAGTTCAAAGTTCCACAAATCTCTAGGGCAGGGGCAAAATGCCACCAGTCTCTTTGCTAAAACATAACAAGAGTCACCTTCGCTCCAGTTCCCAACAAGTTTCTCATCTCCATCTGAGACCACCTCAGCCTGGACCTTATTGTTCATATCACTATCAGCATTTTTGTCAAAGCTATTCAACAAATCTCTAGGAGGTTCCAAACTTTCCCACATTTTCCTGTCTTCTTTGGAGCCCTCCAAACTGTTCCAACCTCTGTCTGTTACCCAGTCCAAAGTTGCTTCCACATTTTTGGGTATCTTTTCAACAACACCCCACTCCTGGAAGCAATTTACTATATGAGTTTATTTTCACACTGCTGATAAAGACATACTGGAGACTGGGAAGAATAAGAGGTTTAATTGGACTTAGTTCCACATGACTTGGGAGGCCTCAGAATCATAGTGGGAGGTGAAAGGCATGTCTTACATGGCTGCAGCAAGAGAAAATGAGGAAGAAACAAAAGCAGAAACCCCTCCTAAACCCATCAGATATTGTGAGGCTTATTCACGATTATGAGAATAGCATGGGAAAGACTGGCCCCATGATCCAATTACCTCCCCCTGGGTCCCTCCCACAACACATGGGAATTCTGGGAGATACAATTCAAGTTGAAATTTGGGTGGGGACACAGCCAAACCATATCATTGGGTATATACCCAAAGGAATATAAATCATTCTATTATAAAGATACACACATGTGTATGTTTATTTAAGCACTATTCACAATAACAAAGGCATGGAATCAACCCAAATGTCCATCAGTGATAGACTGGACAAAGAAAATATGGTACATACACAACATGGAATACTATGCAGCCATAAAAAGGAATGAGATAATGTCCATTTCAGGGACATGGATGGAGCTGGAAGCCATTGTCCTCAGCAAACTAATGCAGGAACAGAAAACCAAATACTGCATGTTCTCACTAATAAGTGGGAGCTGAACAATGAGAACACATGGACACAGGGAGGGGAACATCACACACTGGGGCCTGTGAGGGGCAGGGGCCGGGGCAGGGAGAACATCAGGATAAATAGCTCATGCATGCTGGGCTTGATACCTAGGTAATGGGTTGATAGGTGCAGCAAACCGCCATGCCACACGTTTACCCATGTAACAAACCTGCATGTCCTACACATGTACGCTAGAACATAAAACAAAATAAAATAAAATAAAGAAACAATTCAATTCAAAAATGGGATTTTTTAGATTCCTCATATAAGTAAGATCATGCATTACTTGTCTTTCCTTGTCTGGCTTATTTCACTTAGCATAATGGCCTCTAGGTTCATGCACGTTGTCACAAATAACAGTGTGAAAGAAAAATAGTTTTTTGTCCTTGTGATAGTTTGCTAAGAATGATGTTCTCACTCATAGTTGGGAATTGAACAATGAGAACACATGGACACAGGAAGGGGAACATCACACACCGGGGCCTGTTGTGGGGTGTGGGGAGGGGAGAGGGATAGCATTTGGAGATATACCTAATGTTAAATGATGAGTTACTGGGTGCAGCACACCAACATGGCACATGTATACATATGTAACTAACCTGCACGTTGTGCACATGTACCCTAAAACTTAAAGTATAATAATAAAAAAAAAGAAAAAAAAAAAGAAAGAAAAACAGTTAATCTTGAGGGCTGAGGCACCAATACTGTCTTCCTTTTGTTTCCAAACCGATAATGGTAATTTCACAACCCTGTGTCATAACCTCATTTCCTCTACTCCTTCCCTCTTTTCATTACTTAATTTTATGTAAAATGTAGATTTACTGAGCATAAGATAATTTATAATCAACTTTTTCCTCTACTCTCTTTTCACAAGTAAAATGTAGATTTACTGAGGCTAATCAAAGACTCAGGAATGTAACCATTTGTGTCATGGCCTACTCTTCCTCCTTTTTTTTCTCCTTCCCCTCCTGCTTGCTCTTTCTCCTTTAAATACTGAAGTTCTCAAAACCCTCTTTGGCAAAAGCATGGATCACAGATGCTCCTGTGATTTGTGTTTTTCCCAGGTGTATTCCTCAACCATGACAAAATAAACCTTTAATTGATTGAGACCTACCTCAGTCACTTTCTGACTTACAACAGGATTTCCTTCTTTTTAAAGTCTGAATAGGATTTAATTGTGTATACATACCACATTTTCTTTATCTATTCATCTGCTGAATGACACAGGTTGATTCTATACCTTGACTATTGTGAATAATGCTGCAAGGAACATAGGAGTATAGGTATATTTTCAACATATTAATTTTAAATTCTTTGTCTAAATCCTGTAAATGGGGTTACTACATCATATGATAGTTCTATTTTTAACTTTTTGAGGAATTTCCATATTGTTTTCCATAATGGTTGTACTAATTTACATTCCCACCAACAGCGTACAAATGTTTCCTTTTGTCTACATCCTTAACACTTGTTATCTTTTGTCTTTTTGATAATAGCCATTCTGACAGATGTGAGGTGATATGTCATTGTGGTTTAAATGGAATATCTTAAGTTTTCCTATTGGAGGATGTAAGAGTACTCTCCCCAGAATATTACTGCTAATGTTGCTGTTTTGCATGAACCATGGCCTTGAGCTGAGTTTTTGGACATACAAGTTTTTGAGTACTTGGATATGGGTTTAAGTACTCAAGAACTATATATATTTTTATGTGGCTGAATATTAGAGCCTCTCTTTACTGGTAAGAACTTACAGAAAAAGGAGACATTATAAAGATCTCACAGAGAAATATTTAAGTTTTTTCTGGGAATGAAGGAGCATGGTGACTACTAATCTAGAGGCTGGGGGAAGAGCTGTCTCTGGAAATATCCCAGGCATCACTACGGAACCAGAAGTAGAGACAAGCAGAGGTGTGTTGGAAAGAGTGACATGTGTAGGTTAGCTCCCGGTGGTTTAATCACCAGTGGTCCAACTGAGGCGATGCGTGGATGAGGAGATTGACAGGAGGAAGGAACCTGAAAATATAGATCAGGAAACAAAGCTTCATTGTACAGCATATCCACTGCAGGCAGCTTGGTTTTCGTTCCAGTCTTCTGTCTTCAAGGGCTATTTTCATACAGCATGAGGAGTCATGGGACTAGTGAGATCTGGGCTTCCTTGCCAAGATCACCCACGTTCCTCATTTCCCCTCAAATGTTCCAAATGTCTTGTGTCACCTGATTTTCTATCTTCCTGCTAAAGCTTTTCCCATACTCCTGCTCCTTCACCCTCCATCCTCCTCCAATTCTTACGTGACTTCCACCCTGGAGTTTCATCATGGCCACTTGCTTGTGGTAGCCACTGTCTGAACATAGCCCCTGAATGCTACTGATTTGGCGCTTTCTTCAGATTCTCTAGACTGAGATTTTAAAGAGATAACTTTGTGCCAAGAGAAAGGACCTAGTTTATATGTGCCACAAAAAATTGTTATATATAACTGGTAACCTAGAAGTTGATATAAAAGAAATATTTAAGTGGCTTCACAAAGATTTTGAAAAATTTAGGGATAATTGCTTGATAAATTTTAATTAAAGGAAAACAATATTCTGGGAGCAGCATTTCTAGTTATATTACCATTGGCATTAAGGAGGCCACAGAACCTTTCAGAATATACAGTGATTCTTGATTCCTGAAGTAAATGCAGGGTAAGGTCTTGGATGGTCCTTCTGGTGACAGGGTGGCTCCTATGTTCACATTCAATTCCACTGACCAAGCACAGATTCCAAGAGATGCTGACTAGGGAAGATGATTTCTCCCTTGATTTTCACAAAGAAGGAGTCCACGACTTTTTCTTCTGCCCTGAAGGAAGAGAGAATGTCCCTTGAATTGAGTCTCCCTACTGTAACCCTGACCGTCCCTACTAATGGCAGTGTCTTTTTAGCCCATTTACCCACATGGGGTAAATGCTCTAATTGCTCGGCCCCCACAGAGGCTGGGCAGGTGATTCAGGTGAGACACTCGGAATAAGGATGCTTGACCTAGTTTCTTTCTTCTCTGGCCTTCTTCTGCCTGAATGCCCTGAATAATGCAGCAGGGATAGGGCCAGGGTAGTCAACTGTACAGAAGGCTGGGCCAGGCAGACACAACTGGCAGAAGCCCAAAGCAAAACCTTTCCAGTGAGGTTTTAGCCAATCAGAAAAAGGCTCTAAAGTGACACTTGTTGCTAGCTGAAAAGTCTGTGCGAAGAGGCCTGTGAGACTGAGGAATCCCCAGGTCTGGCGTAGCAGTTGCCTCAGAATAAACCTGTGGGAAGTTTTTCCCTTAGACAGGAAGGAAAGGATGGATTAGAGGCCTCTATTCTGAGGGACACTGAGGTGGGGGCTGAGGAAGGACATTGAGGGCAGCTTCAGGTCTCTCTGCCTACTCTTCCTTGCCCCAACTCCATTCCAGGTGTGAGTATGGTTCCTCCTTTATGTGTCCATCACAGCAGTGGAGACCCTCCTTAGGCTGGGTTTACCCTGATCCTGAGTAAACCACTGCTGCTGGACGCCCAGTGGCAACTTTCCCAGTCTCAGGTGCTCTAGAATTATGCTGTGAATAATACAGAATATTGGAGTGGCTCAACGCTTTCATGTGCCACTATTGCAAACCTCTTGCTGTTGCCTCTTCCCTGCTCTTTTTACCTGGTAAACTTATATTCTGATTTTAGATTGTATTCTCTACTTTAAAAGCAGAACCTAAAATTTTGGGAAAAGAAAGAGAGAAAGGGAGAGAAGAAGAGAGGTGGAGATATTTATTGTCTTGGTTGGGGTCAGAAGTAATGTTTGCCAGGCATTGTTCTAATTGCTTTATAACCATTAGTACTGCCCCTAGTCACTGCCAAGAGGAGCTTGATAAGTTATGCTTATTTATAAAAACACATTGATGTAGATATGTCCATGAGGAACTGTTAAATAAAAAATACATAGAATTGAAAAAAACCACATTGATACCTCTGCCATTTGGGATTTGATGTTTAGGGCTGGCACAGTACAATCTGTGACTCTAAACATTTTCTCCATCATTAATACTATTCAGGACCTAGGAAATGCTTCTCCACAGCTTTTGCTCTCTCTCCTCAAATCTAGACATGACTATGTCTGAATACTGTAAAGGTTTGTGTATTGTGCCTTTGCTGATATCAGATGCACCTATTTCATGGTTCAGGGAGGATTTAAACAGCTGAAGAACTTAGAAAAGGAATGTCAACTTAATTAACTTTTCAAATACTTTCACTCGAAGAGTATAAATACAATATATTCTTGCATAATGAAGAATCATTTACCAGCAGGGATGGGTGTCAATTTTTTTTTGGCTTGTTTTCTTGTTCCACATATTAACCTGATAGTTACACATAACAGTTGAGGATCCTTTTGTAACATTAAACAAGTCATATTAATCTTAAATTTGTATACGTGAAGATCTAGATGTAAAATGCATGAAACATGATCCACATTTTGCAAAGAGAGGCCTGGGGCAAAAATAAATTCAGTAATTTGTTGACTCTCCTAAAGCACATTAGTGGTGGAACTGCAACTCACCATTATTTCCTTCTAAGAACCTTGCTTTTTTCACCAAAACTTAAGGCTCCTCAAAGTGTGTCTAAGACAACAGCAGTAAAAATGTCTATGACAGCAATTTTCTCTCCCCTGAAATATGATCCCCACTTAATTTGCCCTATTGAAAGAATCCCAAGTATGAAAACAACTGGTTTTTAATCAATATTACAAAGATGTTTACTGTTGAATCGCATTTTTTTTGGCTTCTTAAAATCCCTTAGGCATTCAGTCTTCAGCTCTTCCATAATTGAGAGGAAATTTTCACCTCAAATGTTCATCCAGTGCAATTGGAAGACGTCACAGTGCCAGGCACTGGATTGAGAACCTTCACAAAAAAAAATCTGCCCAGAGACAGATGAGGTCCTTCAGCTCCAGTGCTGATTGGTTCCTTTCCAAGGGACCATCCAATCCTACCACGCATGGAAACATCCACAGGTTTTTATTCTTTCTGCCAGGTACATCAGATCCATCAGGTCCGAGCTGTGTTGACTACCACTACTTTTCCCTTCGTCTCAATTATGTCTTGGAAAAAGGCTTTGCGGATCCCCGGAGGCCTTCGGGCAGCAACTGTTACCTTGATGCTGGCGATGCTGAGCACCCCAGTGGCTGAGGGCAGAGACTCTCCCGGTAAGTGCAGGGCAGCTGCTCTCCAGAGCCGCCACTCTGGGAACAGACTCTCCTTGGGCTGGGGTATGGGGATGGTGATCTCGATTATCTCAGACACAATCTTTATCAATATTTCCTCTGTTTTGGGAAAGAGAGCTATGTTGCATTCCCATTTATCTTTTAATGATGAGGTGAGGACAATCCAATCCCATCCTACAGACTTAAGCCTGGAAGAGGAGAGAGGAGAGAAAAGAGGAGACAAAGTGTTCATTTACTACCAGTGATAGGACAAAGTGAGCATGGGGTTATTTTTGAAGATATGAATTTCTCCAAAGACACAGCATGATTTGTCATTTAGGCGTGCCCCAAGACTGCCTGGACTAACTATTATGAGATCCTGCACTGGGAAATGTAAGGCAGCAATGGTGTCTGTAGTCCCCGTATTTGGGGAAAAGGTGTCTGTATTCCTGACTCAGTGGAGCGTTTGTGGAGGCAAAATCTTGGTACTGAGGGAAGCTGACTGGCTGACCACAGACAGGGAGTCTTCAGGTTTCACTGATTTATGGGCAAATGGTGACCTGAGTGGGATTCAGAGACCCGAGTTGATGGTGGACTAAATTTAGTAGAAAGGAGGATGTAAAGAAGAGAAATTACACATACTGTGAAACCACTCATTTCAGACACAGAACAATACTTTACATAAATTCTCTCTCACTCCTTCTAACATCCTGTGTGTAGATATCATGATTTTCTTTTACACAATTATACTTGTGACATGGATATTCTGTTACGTAACCTGCCCGAGCTGGTGACTGCCACAGTTTAATGGGATTCTAGTTTATCAAATTCAAAAGCTTGTGCTCTTTCAGTGAATAAACGTTTCTTTCTAGGACTCAGAGATCTAGGACTCCCTTCTTTCTAACACAGAAGTGAGTGAACCTCACAGGGCACTTGGGAGGGTAAATCCAGGCATGGGAAGGAAGGTATTTTACCCAGGGACCAAGAGAATAGGCATATCAAAAGAGGACAGGTTTAATTCCTGGACCTGTCTCGTCATTCCCTTGAACTCTCAGGTTTATGTGGATAACTTTATCTCTGAGGTACCCAGGAGCTCCATGGAAAATGGGATTTCATGCGAGAACGCCCTGATCCCTCTAAGTGCAGAGGTCCATGCAAAATCAACCCGACTGCCTCTTCGCTTGGTTCACAGGCCCAGCCAGACAGGGACAGGGCTTTCCTCCCTTTCCTGCCTGTAGGAAGGCGGATTCCCGAAGACCCCCGAGAGGGCGGGCAGGGCTGGGCAGAGCCCCCGGGAGGATCCCAGGTCTGCAGCGCGAGGCACGGGCCGGCGGGAACTGGAGGTCGCGCGGGCGGTTCCACAGCTCCGGGCCGGGTCAGGGCGGCGGCTGCGGGGTGGCCGGGCTGGGGCCGGGCCGGGGCCGGACTGACCGGCCGGTGATTCCCCGCAGAGGATTTCGTGTACCAGTTTAAGGCCATGTGCTACTTCACCAACGGGACGGAGCGCGTGCGTTATGTGACCAGATACATCTATAACCGAGAGGAGTACGCACGCTTCGACAGCGACGTGGAGGTGTACCGGGCGGTGACGCCGCTGGGGCCGCCTGACGCCGAGTACTGGAACAGCCAGAAGGAAGTCCTGGAGAGGACCCGGGCGGAGTTGGACACGGTGTGCAGACACAACTACCAGTTGGAGCTCCGCACGACCTTGCAGCGGCGAGGTGAGCGTCGTCGCCCCGCTGCGAGGCCCACTCTTGGCCGGGGCCCCGAGTCTCTGCGCTAGGAGGGACGAGGGGGGCGAAGCCTCTGGAACCTGAGCCGCGTTCGTTCCACCCCAGGGGACAGGAGTTGGCGGCGTGGGTGGTGGGGCAGGTGCATAGGAGGGGCAGGGACCTAGGGGCAGAGCAGGGGTACAGGTAGAGTTGGTCAAACTGCCTAGTTTTGCCCCAGCCTTCCCGTCCGTCAGCCTCGCCCTCTGCTGTGCACGTTCTCGCCTCGTGCCTTATGCGTTTGCCTCCTCGTGCCTTGCCTTTGCTAAGCAGTCCTCTCTGCCCCCAATTTCTGCCCTCTTCCCCTGCCCGCCCGCCCCGCTAGCACTGCCCCACCCAGCAAGGTCCACGTGCACTGCTCGCGCCGCAGGAAGCTTCAGGCTTGGCCTGGTGGAGTTAGGGCTGCTCCACAACTGTGCGCAGGGCATCCAGCAATTACAGTTGTGAAATAAGATATTTTGACTTTTGGCTTCAAATTATTATTCATCGTAATTCCGTTTTCTTAAATGGCTCTCATTCATGGCGGAGCTCTTTGAGGTGAGAGTGTTTTAATCATTTTATGGCCGGTACCTGACACATTGACTGGCATGTGGTATAAGCTCAATAATCTTCTGTTAAATTAATGAATAAATGTGCTCAGCTGCCAATCCACTTAGGCTCAAGAAAAACCAGAGGTAAACAGAACCTTAAAAATGGACTTTTATTAATTATTTTCTATCATTTTGCTTAATTCTTTAAAGTAAACTCTTATTGACTTGGATCTAAATAGTTTGTGAATACAAAGTCTGAGGAAAAAAGTGTTTGCTAAAAATAAAAACAACACTTGAATGATGTTTGTAAGGCAGTTTTAATTTCTTAGAAAAGCTGAACAAATGGCACAATGCAAAGAGCAGAAGTTTTGGAATAAATAGATTGAAGCCATTAAATTATTGGATAAAAATAGTTTCAGGTTGCTTTTGGCCTAGGTTCTCCCCTCCCCCCATCACTATCCACTTCAGGAATAAACATTCTGAAAGTTAATTTTACCCATATAGTGAGCACTTATTTCTAAGTTGCCTTATCAAATACCATCTATGTTATGTCATTTAATCTCGCAGTTGCCTGTGCATTAGAGATTAGCATCACCACTTTATATATCCTAATATTAGTACATGATAAACACTTTAAGTAATCAGCCCACAAGTACTCACCAAGACCTTAAGCCTCCCAAAGTACACAACATTCTTACGTTCCTCACTACACATCTGTAGAGTCAAAGGGACATAAAGCCTTGTTAAAGCCAGTTTTGACCAGAAGCAGCAATGGTCTCTTCCTGTTTGATCTCCATGTTAATGGGACAAAATGATACTTTCAAGGCATTGAAAATTTATGATTAATCAATCAAATTTATGATTAATCAATCCCTAGTCTGACTCCAGTGAGATTCACAAAACTTTCAGTTTACTTTATACTCCCTTGCCTTCTTTTGACTCACATCATAGTGCCGGCAAGTACTTATATTTTTGCTATTTCAGTTCTATTTCCATAAAATTTATTTTATCATCTTTTCTCATAAATTTGTGCCCTCTATTTTTACTCCCAATCTGTGTAAGATGAACAAATCTTATAAGACCACATAGCTGACTGTGATTTCAGGTGGACTCCAGGAAGGAGAACCAAAGAAAACTTTCAGTCTTTTTAAGATGAACAAATCTTGTAAGTCCCCACATAGCTGACTGTGATTTCAGGTGGACTCCAGGAAGGAGAACCAAAGAAAAGTTCAAGTCCAAGCAGAAACCGTGATTCCTTCCGGATGATGGCTCATGAGTGCCATTTAATTGGGGTGCCACCTGCTGTCCTCAGCAAATCCCAGCTATATGTATATGTTCGCATTACAGGCTCATTAACCTAGGCTGACCTCTGCAAGGATCTCAGAATATTTTCTACAGAGAACATACATGATAATATCTGATTTTAGGACAAAAAAGTAATTCTCAATAGCAAGGGAATGGAGTAGGGTAGACAGCTAGTAATTAAACTCACTTGTGTGTTAAAAATAAATTAAGGAAAAAAGAAAATGAGAGAACATATTACTAAATAAAGAAAGCATACATTAAATATTTACTATAGTTTTACACTAAGAGAATAAAGGAAATGCAATAAAGTGGCCTGAAAGGTAAAGGATGAGATGTGTAAAAGAGGCGGGGAAAGATGTGTCATTTTTTTTTTACTATGAGCAGCAATCTGAGAAGATAAAGGAATCGAGTTATGGGCAGACATGATGTTTGATCAGTGTTATTTGTTTTCAAGGCCTGCCTACTTTTTTTTCAAATATTACAAACTTTTGAAGTCACATTCTTTTTGTTTTTTGCTGTCTGTTACTAGATCGCACATTCTGTAAAGGCAGGGACCATGGTATGTTGTTTATCTTTGGATTCTCAGTGATTGTCATATTTATGTTTGTTGAATGAATCTTAATCCAAGACTTGGGCTCCAGGTATCTTTCCATTCTGGTTCCAAGGAGGGACCTTCCTCACAGCAGGCGTGCTGTGTGGTCTCACATCTCACTCCTATATCTTTCCCTGTCTGTTACTGCCCTCAGTGGAGCCCACAGTGACCATCTCCCCATCCAGGACAGAGGCCCTCAACCACCACAACCTGCTGGTCTGCTCAGTGACAGATTTCTATCCAGCCCAGATCAAAGTCCGGTGGTTTCGGAATGACCAGGAGGAGACAACCGGCGTTGTGTCCACCCCCCTTATTAGGAACGGTGACTGGACCTTCCAGATCCTGGTGATGCTGGAAATGACTCCCCAGCATGGAGACGTCTACACCTGCCACGTGGAGCACCCCAGCCTCCAGAACCCCATCACCGTGGAGTGGCGTAAGGGGATATTGAGTTTCTGTTACTATGGGCCCCACAAGACAAAGGGCAGAGCTCATTCTGACCCATCCCTTCCCATCTCTTATCCCTGATGTCACTACTGAGCTGGGAATCACAGGAGACTAGAGCACTTCTTCCTCCATGGCAAGTGCATCAGAAGAATCCTGATCTCATCACCTTTCCAGATGCTAGGGAAATTACTCTACATACTGTTTCTCTGGATCCCAGTCCTGATAGCTCGGAGGGACTGATCATTAGGGCTGGTGACTGGGATCTTAGGGTTTAAGGTTATGGATGAGCTCCTGAGGAGTGGAGATCTGCTTCTCCACTCTCTCACCTACTCACTGTACCCAAGGACCTATTGGCTGGCCTTTCCCCTCCCTTAGGGGTGGTCTGAATGGAGGACTAGTTTCCTTTGACGCCTTCACCTCCTGAATCTCAGACTGGACTTCAGCTCCTCAGCAGGGATGCTATGGGGTGTGGGGACAAACACTGACACTCAGGCTCTGCTTCTTAGGGGCTCAGTCTGAATCTGCCCAGAGCAAGATGCTGAGTGGCATTGGAGGCTTCGTGCTGGGGCTCATCTTCCTCGGGCTGGGCCTTATTATCCATCACAGGAGTCAGAAAGGTGAGGAACCCCAAGGGAAAAGGGGAAGATGGGCTGTGACCCAGACCCTCTGTTCAGAGAGGTCCTGTCTCTAGATGTGGCTCTTTCCTCCTGACCCCGAGAGGAAGAAAGCTGAGCTGGAGGTGGGAGGAGACAGGACAAGATTGGAGGAGGCATTGGAATCTGATTTTACTAGTTGAAAGGTAGCCCTGTCACACAGCTCACTGATAGAGCTTATTGAAGGACATCCTTACCTTTCATCATTGTCTCATTGGCTCCTTTCCAAAAGCTTCCTCCATTAAGAGGGTCAGAGCCTTGGCCTCCTTGCCTTCTAGTGACAATTTCCTTTGTTTTAGGGGATTTTAAATTAGGGTGCTTAAGGCCTTGAAGGACATGGGTGGGAAGAGAATATAACTCTAATTAAGTCACATGTGTCATTTTCCATTGGGGTGAGAGAGTGGCTGTTTGTGTAATGAGACCTTTCTCTGCATAACTTCCTTTTGTAAGACCTCAAGGGCCTCCACCAGCAGGTAATATTTCAGCCGTGATCCAGTGTGGGGAGGGCACAGATGTAAGAGGGAAGAGCATGAGCTGAGTGTACCTGACCACAGTGGTCTCCGTTCATGGTATATTTGCTGCTATGAGGATCAAGACTTAGGGGCGAAGTTTGCCAGTTTCTAGGAATCTCCAGAGGCTGTTCCCCAGAACCAAGCCTTAACTTTGGTGGCATCTTCCTGTGAAATGTGAAGCCAGAACCACAGCTTAAATGTTAGACACTAGGATGATGCCCACTTTGTGCCACATGTTGGTGGCTACTGCCTGTAGGCATTTTCCAGTGACTGAAAGAGGCTGCTAGTGGTAGGGATGAGGTATCATCCAATTTCCTAAAAAGACCGAACCCTTCATATTCCCCAGAAGAGTAACAGCTGTTCCCCCACCTCCCTCACATCTGCATCAAGCTGAAGTTCTGTGTCTTCATGAGCTGATTTCACCTTTGCACAGATCTTGGGGGAGGTGATGACAATACACTCTGGACCTCAGCTTTGTCTGTCTGAAGCTGCAGGGGGCCCCTGAGGGGTGGGGGAGATGGCAGGCCCACCAGCGTACCCTGTGCTGATCATCCCTCTTCTCTCTTCTCCAGGGCTCCTGCACTGACTCCTGAGACTATTTTAACTGGGATTGGTTATCACTTTTCTGTAACGCCTGCTTGTCCCTGCCCAGAATTCCCAACTGCCTGTGTCAGCCTGTCCCCCTGAGATCAGAGTCCTACAGTGGCTGTCACGCAGCCACCAGGTCATCTCCTTTCATCCCCACCCCAAGGCGCTGGCTGTGACTCTGCTTCCTGCACTGACCCAGAGCCTCTGCCTGTGCATGGCCAGCTGCGTCTACTCAGGCCCCAAGGGGTTTCTGTTTCTATTCTCTCCTCAGACTGCTCAAGAGAAGCACATGAAAACCATTACCTGACTTTAGAGCTTTTTTACATAATTAAACATGATCCTGAGTTATCTGTATTCTCAACTTCCTTAATTGAGCAGAGGCAGGAAATCACTGCAGAATGAAGGAACATACCTTGAGGTGACCCAGCCAACCTGTGCCCAGAAGGAGGGTTGTACCTTGAAAAGACACTGAAAGAATTTGGGGTGCAAAGTCATGGTGGGCAGAGGAGGTAGAAAATCAACTCAGTTGTCGCATCATTCATGGTTCTTTCATATTGATGTTCAGTGCAGTGGCCTGAGAATATCCCAGCCTCTCTTCTGGTTTGGTGAGTGCTATATAAGTAAACATGGTGGAATTGTTTGGGGGCAGATATAGTGACCCTTGGTCACTGGTGTTTCAAACATTCTGGCAAGTCACATCAATCAAGAATAATTTTTACTTTTAAGAAAGCATAACCAGCAATAAAAGTATTATTTTTGATTCTAAATGATAGAAACCCAAATATATTTTGTTCATGGTGCAAAGGAAGCCTAGAGTCAAGTTGATTTCAGAAGTGACTAGTTCCAGATACACAATGAGATCTTCACCTCTCTCTTTCTGTTGTATCTCTATCTGTGAATCTGCCTCTCTTTCTCTGTATCTCTTTGTCCCTGTATAGTTCTTTCTGCGTGTCTCTCTGCATCTTTGTCTCTGTGCCCTTGTTGTCTTTCACTACATTGTTGCCTTTCTTTCTATTTTTCTAATCCATTGTCACTGTTTATCTGCATTTTTTCTATCTCCATGTTTCTTTTTGCATCTATTTTTCTGCATTTCTCTTCCTTATCACTTCATATATTATCTCATCTCTCTCTCTTGCTGTGTGTGTGTGTGTGTGTGTGTGTGTGTGTGTGTGTCTGTTTGTCTGTCTCTGTTAATATATGTTTCTAGAATGTCTACCAGAGTTTTAACAACTTTAGGAAAGATTCTGATTGGCCAAGCCTGGGTAACATGCACACCTCTCAAACACACTGTCCTGTGCACGGGATGCTGACAGCCAGCATTGTGCCCATCCCTCTTATTAGGAAGGAGGACTGGATTTTCCAGATCCTTGTGGTCCTGGAAATGACTTCCAGTGTGCAGATGTCTACACCAGCCATGTGGAGCACCTCAGCCTCCACAGCCTCCTCACAGTGGAGGGGTGTAAGGGGCAGTTTGTTTCTTGTGGAGCCCACAGGACAAATGGCAGAGCTCCCTCTGGTTCTAGGGTCCCTCATTGGGGGTACCTGTTCACAGTCATTCCACTCCTTGTCTGAGCTCCCTTTGTCATTGACGTTGTAACCTGTTGATTCCTGATGACACTCTTTTCCCGGTTATGAGGGAGGTCACTACGCACTGTGGCCCCTTTGATGTGGGCCCAGCCCTGAAGCTGGTCTACATCTCAGTCTCTGAGTTTCGTCATGAAGACAGAGTCTGGGAGCTTCTGCGAGGTTATGGAAGGCCATGACCCTGAAAGCAGGCATCCCATCTTCCTTTCTCCCTCACCCACACACTGGGCGTGAGGAGTCTTTGGCAGGCTCTTCCTTCTTATGGATGAGGTCAGAGTGGAGAACTAGGTCTCCTTGGGACCTTCATCTCTTGTACTCCAGGCTGTCATGCAGGTCCTCAGACAGGGACACTGGTGCACAAAGAGGCACCAACACTTGAGATTCTGCTCCCCAGGGTTATGGTCTGAATTTTCCCCAAGCAAAATTCTGAATGGAGTCAAAAGTTTTGTGCCAATTTTGTCCTCTTCCTCAGGTTGGGCACTGTCATTCACCATAGGGATCAAAAGGGAGTAACACTTTTGGGGAAATGGGGAAGGCATGTGCTGGGTTGTCCAGCGTGTCCTCAGTCTCTGTGTGTAGCTCCTGGCTTTTGACCCTGCAAAGGGAAGAGGCAGGGCTAGGGATTGAACAAGACTCAAAGTTTAGGGGAACATCGAGATCTGATTTTTCTAGTTGAAGCATAAGCCCTATAATCGGGGTGGGTGATAGATTATATTCTAGGACATTCTTACAGTTCAACATTGTCACACTGAGCACACATGCTGGAAGATTCTTTATTAACGAGAGGGTCAAAATCGTCTTCTCTTTCTTCCATTGACAGTTTCATAGAAACAACTATGTTTTGCACCCAGATTTCATTGGATAGTATAATCTTTAATGGATAATTAATTAAAATAATAAGTACATCGTCTATAAATAAGTTTGCTAACACAAAGAACTGAGTCTTACTCAGCATATAACTTGGAGGAAAGTGTGTGGGTGTTCTAGAGGACAACCTACCGGTCTTGAGCATTTGTCCTTACCTTAGATAATAACAGTATAACTTTTGGAGACAGTGATGCTCGCCAGTATTCCAAAGCTCCTGTACATTTCTCAGTCTTTTCTGCTGTTAGGTTGGGGACATTTGACTAACAGTAACCAATGGAACTTGCAAGTAGGTGCATGGTGGTGTATGAGATGCTGGAAACTCCATAATCTGAGTCATTTGAATAACTGTGGAATTAAGTCTCCTTATTGAGTTAAGCCACTGAGATCTACTTTTTACTGTGGGTTAAGATCTACTTTTTACTGTGGGTTAAGATCTTATTGCAACATAACCTTGCCCTTCCTGATTATCATGAAATGTTTAACTTAAGGAAGAAGAGAGTCCTTAAGTTAATAGGGTGAATCAACTGAGTTAATGGAAGTTAAGAGATGAGTTTTTAAAACAATTAAAAAAATAAAAAGAAAACTTTATTTGAACAAGAAAAAGTTAAGGATGTTACACTTCAAAAGAATTTTGAACTCATTAATTATTTTTAATTGACAAATCACTGTGGATTTACAGGGTACTGTATGATTTTTTTGATACATGTGATTAAACCAGGCTAATTAACATATCCATCACTTCACTTTTTGGTGGTATGAATATTTAAAATCTCTCTCTGCAATTTTCAAATATACAATACAGTTGGCCCTCTATATCTGTGGGTTTCACATCCTCTCATTCATTCAACTGTGGGTTGAAAATATTTAGAAAAAAATGAAAACTAACAATATAACTATAAAAATAATTCCAATTCAAAAACAATACAGTATAACAACTATTTTCATAGCATTTACATTACATTGGGTATTCTAAGTATAATCTGGAGATGATTTAAAGCATACAGGAGGATAGGCTTAGTTTATATGCAAAAACTAAGACATTTTTAATAAGGGACCTGAGCATTCTCAGATTTTGGTATACAGAGAGGGTACTGGAACAAATCCCTCGTGGATGCCGAGGGACGACTGTACATTATTATTAACCGTAGTCACCATGCTGTATGATCGATCTCCAGTACTTATTCCTCCTGCCTAACTGAAACTTTGTACTTTTTTTCTGAAACGGGGTCTAGGTCTGGCTGGGGTGCAGTGGTACGATCACAGCTCACTGCAGCCTTCACTTCCCGGGCTCAATCCATCCTCCCACCTCAGTCTCTGGAGTAGCCGGGACTACTGGCATGTGTGACCATGCCTGGCTAGTTTTTGTATTTTTTGTAAAGATAGGGTTTCACCATGCTGCCCAGCTGGTCTTGAACTCCTGTGCTCAACCAATCTACCTGCCTCAGCCTCCCAAAGTGGTGGGATTATAGGCATGAGCCACCACACCCTGCCCTTCTTTGTACCTTTTGACCAACATCTTCTCATTCCTCCTTGTCCCCCTCCCTGCTACCCCCACTCCCCGACCTGCCATGATTTTGACTTTTTTAGATTCCACAGGTAAGTGAGGTCATGCAGTATTTGTCTTTCTGTGCCTGGCTTATTTCACTTAACATAATGTCTTCCAGGTTCATCCATGTTGTAAAAAATGTAAAAGATTTCCTTCTTTTACAAGGCTGAATAGTATTCCATTGTGTATATGGACCACAGTTTCCTTATACACTCATCTGCTGATTGAGACTTAGGTTGTTAACATCTCCTGGCCATTGTGAGTAGTGCTGCGATGAACATGGGAGTACAGATACCTCTTTGATACACTGATTTCATTTTCTTTGCAGATGTACCCAGCAGTGGAATTGCTGGATGATGTGGTAGTTCTATTTTTATTTTTTAAATAGATAATGAATTTATAAAAAAACATTTATTTGGGTGGGGCGCCGTGGCTCATACCTGTAATCCCAGTACTTTGGAAGGCCGAGGTGGGCGGATCACTAGGTCAGGAGTTCAAGACAAACCTGGCCAACATAGTGAAACCCCGTCTCTACTAAAAATACAAAAATTAGCCGGGCATGGTGGCATTCTCCTGTA
Source organism: Homo sapiens (assembly GCF_000001405.40). NCBI lineage: Eukaryota > Metazoa > Chordata > Mammalia > Primates > Hominidae > Homo > Homo sapiens. The sequence continues at coordinate 3,952,025 of NT_167247.2, read as the reverse complement.
GTCCCAGCTATTTGGGAGGCTGAGGTGGGAGAATTGCTCGAACCCAGGAGGCGGAGGTTGCAGTGAACCGAGACCACACCATTTCACTCCAGCCTGGGTGACAGAGCGAGACTGCAAAATAAAACTATATATATATTTTGTTTGTTTGTTTGTTTTCTTCTACATGAATATATACGTATTCCCAGGAACTAGAACACCGTTTCTGTTGTGGATGCTGTTCTGTTCTACCTAAACTCCTCCCTTTGGGACTGAAGGATTTATTCTCTCACTGCTGGGAATGTTGCTGGCTGACAGCCCTTAGCTGTCAGTCATCCCCCAGAATTGCTTTAGGTGATGAAAGCAACCTCATCAGATTTTACTCCACTTCCCAGGAAGAACCCACCTATAATGACTGGTCAGTGTTGGGGTATAAATGTCCTAAACCCTTTCCCTAAATGAAGCCAAATCTGAAGGGATCCTACAGCTTCAGAACTCCCTGGGGGTTAGGATGAAGACTTTTTGACTGAATGATAGTCCAATTTCTAAAACCCTGCTTTAATTCATGAGCCATCTTACATAATTCTTTTGGTTACAAATGTAATTTAAATGTAGTGATCTTTGTGATTTCTTCCTTAACTATGGGCAATTTCTCTTTTCTGCTTCTTGGGAGATGAAGTTATTGGCATTGATACCCTTCCTTTCCCCTCCCCTTTATGCTTCCACTTGCCAAAATGAGATACAGGCACCCTTTTTTCAATATTGTCAAAGCTGACAATTTTGACATTCTGCTGTAACAATAAGCATACTTGGGCTTTGCTCGTAGCTTAATTCTAAAAATTGAAAAAAATAGTTTATCATTTTCTAAATATCACTCATGTATCAGACGTTCTTTGCTTGCCAAGGAACTGCTGTAATAGGATCCCTTTTCAGTGAGGTCCTGGGTTAAATTCAGTTTTCTGGATTCTTTACCTTCCCATTTCCTGATTAACAGTTTTACTTTACTAAGTAATATCCTTAGTCAACTTCTAATAAAACTATGTGTGGTAGGTACAATTTTTGCCTTTTCATATTTCTTGACTTAGTTTTCCAACCTTCCTATTAAATTTTCCAATTGTTTATAGCATTCTATTATTACTCTTACAGATTAAGAATTCTAATTAGAAAGACTTTAAACTTGTTTGCTGTTACATGAGCTTTCCATATTAAATCTGTGATAATTTTCATGTTATTTTATTCTCATCTTCTCTTTCGTGTTGTAAGAGTTTCTCAAACATTTGCTCTGCCTGCCTCAACCTTGTCCCTTACCTACTGTATACCATCTTATTTCATCTCAAGATACACTTCTTCGAGTCACCTCTAATCTCCCCCAAATTATACCTGGTTCCTGTGCAACACTCTCTCACTTTACCTTGTTCTCTTTTCCTTTATAAATTATTCAGAGTTTGTAATTATATGTTTGTGGAATTATGTAATATATGTATATTTCTTCCCACTAGAGTGTAAGTTCTATGAAGACAATGAATGTATCTCTTTTCACATTATTTTAATGATACGTATAACAAAGTATGGTACTTATTGCTATAATGGTACTCAAAGACCATTTTTGCAGTTTTGATGAATTAAGGAATATATAAACAAGTCTGGGGGCTTAGTACAGCCAATAATAAAGGAAAAAGTACTTTGCTTTCCTTTGCTATTATTAGTTCTTGCATACACATTCTTTAGAGTTGCATTTTTGAGAGGTTCCTATAGTCTTAGGCAGGATTTGGATACTTAGGATTTCCCAACTGTGATAAAAATGAGAAAAGCCTAAAAACTAACATAACTTCAAACAGAATGTTTCTCTGCCTATGTTTATGGGACTTTCCTGGAATGCATTTTTTAAAAAACTTTGTATTACAGAAAACTTCAACAGTGTTAGAGAGAAGAGTGCCATGTTTTAACAGCCAAGCTTTAACAATGATCAATTCATGGGCAATTTTGTAAACCCACCCAATTAATCATACATGCACACTGGGTTATTCTGAAGATACTTTCAGATACCATACTTCATTCATAATTATTTTATTATGAAAATCTAAAGTATAATGACTTTTTAGAAACATAACAGCAATGCTATTACCACACTAAAATTAGCTATTTCCTTAATACAGTCGGTGTCAATTTTTCTGATTGCCTCATATCAATATGGTTCATATATTTCTTCAGCCTTTTAAAAATGTATAGCTTCTCTTCTCTTCCCTTCCCTTCTCTTCTCTTCTCTTCTCTTCTTTCTCTCTCTCTGTCTGTCTTTGAATTGTTGCTGAAAAAATTGAGTTATCTAGTGGAAGTTCCCATATTCTGGATCTTGTTGGTTTCATCCCTGTGGTGTCATTCGCTATGGGATTTGTTAGTTGGACTCCAGAAAATAACAATAACACTAATTGTTAACACCTACTGACTACTTACTATGTGCCAGTACAGACTGTAAGTAAAATAAAATGTTTAATTCTTCAAATCCCTAGTTTGTCTGTGGCAAGTACAAACCTGAAATATTTCATGTGATTTTTAAAATTTTGTAAAATTTATTTATTTATTTATTTATTTTTAGAGGTGGGGTCTTGCTCTGTTGCCTAGGCTGGAGCGAGCACAGTGGCACAATCCTAGCCCTCTGAAGCCCTGAACTCCTGGGTTCGCTCCTCTCGCCTCAGCCTCCAGAGTAGCTGGGATTACAGGCGCGCCACCATGCGCTAATTTATTTTTATGTTGTAGAGATGGGGTCTTGTTTTGTTGCCCAGGCAGCTGTTGAACTCCTGGCTTCAAGCAATCCTCCTCCATTGGCCTCCAAACTGTTAAGATCACAGGCACGAGCCTCTGTGACCCACTAATTTTGTAAATTTTAAATAATGTGATATTAAATATTAATGAAGTCACACTTTATGTATATAATCTGAAATAATTCAAATAACTGAAATAATTTTTAAGTATCGCATGATTTAAAATCATGCAGGTTGATCTGTAACCCCATTTATAGTAATGTCAATAATGACCCTACTTTTTTAGCTGATTAAAAAAATTTACTCTTATTTTTTAGAATTAGTTTTAATTCTGCTATTTTAACATTACATAAATACTTTTTGAATACAACCTTTTAATAAAATGCACTATCATTAAATTTGCTTTCCACAGTACTTCTTGAGGAATGAGTCTGAGTTGGGCAGCATTTGTAGATTTCTGTATGACTAGTCATTTTGCCATTCAGTATACCCCTTATATTACACATACACACACACACACACAAGCACACAAATGCACACAACTCCAATATGCTGGATTCTTGCCTTATGAATCATTGAAATTTATATGAAATTTATTTGAAACCCTATTGCTAAAAATTTCTTAGCACATTTGCGCATTTTAATGTGACTTTTTCATACTAAAAGTTTTATTTTATATATTTGGGATCATAATTGGTTACCTTTTTGTCTCCTTTTTAAAAACAGACTTTATTGAATCTATAAATTACCTTGGGCAGTATGGCCATTTTCACGATATTGATTCTTCCTACCCATGAGCATGGAATGTTCTTCCATTGGTTTGTATCCTCTTTTATTTCATTGAGGAGTGGTTTGTAGTTTTCCTTGAAGAGGTCCTTCACATCCCTTGTAAGTTGGATTCCTAGGTATTTTATTCTCTTTGAAGCAATTGTGAATGGGAGTTCACTCATGATTTGGCTCTCTGTTTGTCTGTTATTGGTGTATAAGAATGCTTGTGATTTTTGTACATTGATTTTGTATCCTGAGACTTTGCTGAAGTTGCTTATCAGCAAGCTACCAATGACTTTCTTCACAAAATTGGAAAAAACTACTTTAAAGTTCATATGGAACCAAAATAGAGCCTGCATTGCCAAGTCAGTCCTAAGCCAAAAGAACAAAGCTGGAGGCATCATGCTACCTGACTTCAAACTATACTACAAGGCTACAGTAACCAAAACAGCATGGTACTGGTACCAAAACAGAGATATAGACCAATGGAACAGAACAGAGCCCTCAGAAATAATGCTGCATATCTACAACTATCTGATCTTTGACAAACCTGACAAAAACACGAAATGGGGAAAGGATTCCCTATTTAATAAATGGTGCTGGGAAAACTGGCTAGCCATATGTAGAAAGCTGAAACTGGATCCCTTCCTTACACCTTATACAAAAATTAATTCAAGATGGATTAAAGACTTAAATGTTAGACCTAAAACCATAAAAACCCTAGAAGAAAACCTAGGCAATACCATTCAGGACATAGGCATGGGCAAGGACTTCATGTCTAAAACACCAAAAGCAATGGCAACAAAAGCCAAAATTGACAAATGGGATCTAATTAAACTAAAGAGCTTCTGCACAGCAAAAGAAACTACCATCAAAGTGAACAGACAACCTACAGAATGGGAGAAAATTTTTGCAATCTACTCATCTGACAAAGGGCTGATATCCAGAATCTACAATGAACTCAAACAAATTTACAAGAAAAAAGCAAACAACCCCATCAAAAACTGGGCAAAGGATATGAACAGACACTTCTCAAAAGAAGACATTTATGCAGCCAAAAAACACATGAAAAAATGCTCATCACCACTGGCCATCAGAGAAATGCAAATCAAAAGCACAATGAGATACCATCTCACACCAGTTAGAATGGCAATCATTAAAAAGTCAGGAAACAACAGGTGCTGGAGAGGATGTGGAGAAATAGGAACACTTTTACACTGTTGATTGGACTGTAAACTAGTTCAACCATTGTGGAAGTCAGTGTGGCGATTCCTCAGGGATCTAGAACTAGAAATACCATTTGACCCAGCCATCCCATTACTGGGTATATACCCAAAGGATTATAAATCATGCTGCTATAAAGACACATGCACATGTATGTTTATTTTGGCACTATTCACAAATGCAAAGACTTGGAACCAACCCAAATGTCCAACAATGATAGACTGGATGAAGAAAATGTGGCACATACACACCATGGAATACTATGCAGCCATAAAAAATGATGAGTTCATGTCCTTTGTAGGGACATGGATGAAGCTGGAAACCATCATTCACAGCAAACTATCCCAAGGACAAAAAACCAAACACCACATGTTCTCATTCATAGGTGGGAATTGAACAATGAGAACACGTGGACACAGGAAGGGGAACATCACACACCGGGGCCTGTTGTGGGGTGGGGGGAGGGGAGAGGGATAGCATTAGGAGATATACCTAATGTAAATGACGAGTTAATGGGTGCAGCACACCAACATGGCACATGTATACATGTGTAACAAACCTGCACGTTGTGCACATGTACCCGAAAACTTAAAGTATAATAAAAAAAATAGACTTTATTTTAAAGCAGTTGCTAGTTCACAGAAAAACTGAGCAGAAGCTGCAGAGATATCCCAAAGGTCCCCAACCCCCTGGGCCATGGACCAGTACCAGCTGGTGGCCTGTTAGAAACTGGACCATGCAGTGGACGAGGTAGCATTACCAACTGAGCCCCGCCTTCCGTCAGATCAGTGGTGGCATTAGATTCTCATAGGAGCGCGAACCCTATTGTTAACTGTGCATGCAAAAGATCTAGGTTGCATGTTCCTTATGAGAACCTTGCTAATGCTTTTTGATCTGAGGTGGAACAGTTTCACAGTTTCATCCCCAAATCATACCCACATTCCCCCCACTATCTGTGAAAAAATTGTCTTCCATAAAACTGGTCCCTGGTGCCAAAAACGTTGGGGACGGCTGCCAGATACATTCTGCTCCCACACATGCATAGCCTCCCCCATTAGCAACATTTCCCTCCAGAGTGGTACATTTGCTATAATTTATGAACTTACATTGGCACATCATTATCACCCAAAGTCCATGGTTTACATTGTCTCACTCTTGGTGTTGTACATTCTGTGGATTTGGGCAAATGCATAATGACATTTTTCAACATTGTGGTATCAAATAGAGTAGTTTCATTGCCCTAAAAATGCTCTGTGCTCTGTGATGGACATTTTTTTGATGATCACTTGTTCAGACTCCCTTGCTTACTGATTCCTAGTCTGCATTTTAAATTATTTTCTCCTTGAACTTTCTTCACCTCCTCCCCAAAGTAAACATGCATAAACATCTGTTGCATATGAAATACTTTGAATAAAGACTTATAGGCCACAAGGAGGGAATATATCCCTTCTTAAAGAGTTGAAAACCAAAGTGAAATATTACGATTTCTCATCCTAAGAGTTCTCTTAGCAATTGATCTCAGCCTCTCTCATTTTGGAGAAAACAATATCCTGCAATGATCATATGAAAAGAAATTCACCCATAGTTCTACATACATTTGAATCTCCTAAATCATTAAGGGGCTGAGAAAAACAAAAGTACTTTTCATATAACGTGATCCATTCTTTTAAATAAATTAATTATAAATATAACCACAATGTTTTCTTGTGTATTTATGTACTATATGTAAGGCATTGACTATATATCAAGATTATTCAAATTCCATCAATAGCTCTGCAAGGAAAGTATTATTACTCCTCCATTGTGGAAGAGAAAAATAAGGCCAGAAATGTTAGATACTTTACCCATTTATAAAGTTTAAAATACTAGCTTCAAAGTACTGAATCCTTGATTTGGATTTAGGGTTCTTTGCACCAAACTATACTGTATCAATTAATGTGTTAATATTTTGTCTTTTTTCTCCAATTAAAATTTAAACTCACTGATGCAGGTAGCATGGATAGAAATACCCTCACAGATTTCATAGCTGTTTAGAGCCATGGGGTCACTGCTGACCATTTCCTCTGGGAGAGTTTCTGCTAGGAAATGGCCAATCCAGTGGAGGACACAGCACCCACAGCTGCTGCTACATTGTCTCAACTGTGTTGTTCCTCCTAGGGTTTCTCTCATAAGCTAGTGCTTTCCTTAGCCAGGAGGGGTGAGGGGAAAGGGCTGGGGATTTCTGAAGATACTGGCATTGTTTTGTATCGGCATGTTTCCTAGAAACATCCTGCCATATCCACTATACTGTCTGCTTCATGCAAGGGTGGCACAGGGAAAGCTACGTGGTTATCTAGCAAAGCTTCATTCAGGAGGTGAGGCAGACTGCGCCTCTATTCAGGGCTCCTAGATATGTCTGTGGCTTCTACTCCTATCCCTTTTCCCATTGTCACTAACCCTATGTGAGGAATAAGTATTTGTTCCTTTTCAGATACCCACATTACTGTCTTTTTCTAATGTTTTTCTGACTTCCATTTCTTTTCCTACCTAAAGAATTTTTATTCCCTAAAGGCGAGGAGGGGAGAGGAAGGCTTCTACTGTCATCATTCTTTACAAATGCAAAGTTTTGAGAATAAATTTTTACTTTTGATATTTTTGTGATTCAAAGTTCCTTTATCCTAATTTATTTCTCCATCATACTTTTAAAAGCCATATTGAAATTAGTACAAACTTATTTTTTGGTTTTAAAATTTTTGCTATAACAATTCTGAGCAAAGGGCAGAGAGTATCCATTAACTTCATTGTTGCCTGAATTGAGGGATGGGCGGCAGTGCCAAGGGTGAGAACACAAAGAAGAAAGAAATATTAATGTCAGCTAAGAAATCAACATATTATCAGGCTATATTGTACTTGGTTGCTTCTGTGTTACTGGATATGAAATATGATCTGGGAAATGAGATGAAATTGGCTTGAAACATGAGAGTGTCACAATTCTTAGCCATAGGTTCAGTCAGCCCCGGATGAAAGATAGAAAAATTTGACATAGATCTCTTAAAGGGAATTTATTGCTTCCATGGAGATTTTAGATCGATGTTACTGAGGAATTAGGTAGCTGGGCGGCTTACCCCAGGCATCTCTTAGTAGGTAACACCTGAGAAAAGAAAAAAAAATCAGGAGGTCAGGGAAAGAATTCAAAGGCATTTGTGAGCTCTGAGGGGATACAGAAGCTTAAGAAAAAAAAAGCAGAGAAAAGGTAAGAGGAGAAACATTTGCAGGAGAAAAAGGGTATGATAAATCGGGCCAGAGAATAGTGCTAGGTCATGTAGCAAGTCCACTCTTCCGCTGCTGTAGATGGTGATGCACCTGCAACAGGACAGACATGAGATCGATGGGTCCAAGGGGGCTCCTGTGTCATCATCATGCCACTTCCCAATTCCCCTACAACTTTCAACCACATTCATGTCCACAGCCTCCTCCCACTTTCCTTCCTGCAGCTTCAGCTCTAACAAATCTCAATCTTACCTTCCTTTTCAGGATGGGATTCACAAGGGCCCTTGGTGTCTGGAAGCACCAACTGAACGCAGGCCTCGGATGATCAAGACGGTCCCCACCACAATGCCCACGAGGCCCACAGACAACCCCAGGGCGCAGACCACAGTCTCTGTGAGCTCTGACATAGGTGTTGGAATCTCAGGCTCTGTGGAAGTGAAGTTGTTGAGGTCAGAATGCAGAGTTTGCTCATGTGCATGTGTGTGGGATGGGATGGGGTAGAGGGTTGGCTCTGCAAAGACTCAAGGCCCCCAGCTTAGGGAGGAGAGTGAAGTCTGTTATTAGAAACCCATGAAGTGGCAGGCCTGCTCCCACCCTGTGGAGTGTACTTTCTTTTTTAATAAATCTGTGCTTTTGTTGCTTAATTCTTTCAAAAAAAAGACAAAAGAAACTCATGAAGTGTGGAAAACAAGTTTTGGGATATAGAGTAAAAGGCAGGAAGTTCTGAACTTGACAGACAAGAAAGCATCAAAAAATGGTGAAACTCATCCTTACCCCAGTGTTTCAGAAGAGGCTCATCCAGGCCCCAGTGCTCCACCTTGCAGTCATAAATCTCATCATCAGAAGGGAGGAAGGTGAGGTAACTGATCTTGAAGAAGGAATGATCACTCTTGGAGAGGAAGCTGGTCTCAGAAACACCTTCTGTGACTGAGTGCCCATTGCTCAGCCAGGTGATGTTGACCACAGGAGGAAAGATGTTGTCCACAAGACAGATGAGGGTGTTGGGCTGACCCAGTGTCACGGGAGACTTGGAAAACACTGTGACCTCAGGAACCTCTATGGTGAGGAAACAGCACTGGTGTAAAGTGTGAATAGCTCTGCCCTGAGCTTCTTCTGCATTACATCCTGGAAGAGTCTTCCTACCAGCATTTCCTCTCCTGCTGGTCAAAGAGGCCTTATTTACCTCTTTGGGTAAGCAACGACACATTGTAACGACACATTTGGGAGCAACGACACATTGCCTCTGCTTTACTCCTGTGCCCTTCTCTCTGTGGGCATGTTTAATAAAGTAGAAGGTTGATGAGACCTCTCCTAGAAGGATTTAATGAATGCATAATGGAAAGACCCTTGTATTACATTGGAATATGTGATTTTAGAGATGAGAAATGATAAAATTTCAGCAATTGCCATGAGAAGATCTGGGGACCTCTTGGAAAGAAAATAATGAAACTTGGTATAAAGGGATAAATCAGTAAAGAAAGGCAGAATGGTGGACACATACCATTGGTAGCAGCGGTAGAGTTGGAGCGTTTAATCACGATGTTCAAGTTATGTTTTAGCACAGCGATGTTTGTCAGTGCAAATTGCGGGTCAAATCTTCTAAATCTGCGGAACAGAGGCAACTGCCAGACAGTCTCCTTCCTCTCCAGGTCCACATAGAACTCCTCGTCTCCATCAAATTCATGGCTGTACTGCCCAGAGGGACCATAAGACTGGTACAAGTTTACACCGTAAGAGGCAACATGGTCAGCTGATGAGTGAAGATGACAAGCAGGAAGGCAGAGAACAGGGGAATAAAGAACCTTAATACACAAAATGATGGAAGAAACTGACTTTCAGATATTATGGGCTTTGTCTTTGGCAAAGTCTGTGGACATTTCCAGCCCCTGCTTCCTCCCCTCTTCGTGTTGATAGTTGTCCGGTTAAAAGTGCACTTTCTTTCCCACTACGGTGTGTGCTACACAAGGGCAGAATATCGCGTGTCCAATTTTCACTATTTCCTGAGTGCCTGGCACATCATAGACTTGTGATTAAATAATGTAAATGAACAAAAGAAGGAATGAATGAGTTATCAGAGTACTTAACTTTCTTAGTCATAGATTAACTTCCCTCTGCTTCCTAAGGTTTATCTTTCACTTAATTCTTTCATCAGTTAATAACAAATTGATTATACTTCCTTTCCTCTCAGGACTGGCTCAGAACAGGACATTCTACACAGAGATCTTTCTTTTTTTAGAAAAAGGAAAAGCATGCAGGATCTTATTAATTTAAAATAATTTCTGCTAACAATGGTAGGGTATAAGAAAGAGTATAACAAGAAGGGTAATAACATTACAAAATATATGATAAGTAAATAATGCTTCCTTCTAAGGTCTCTGTTTTGTTAATAGTAATGGTCCTTAGAGGAGAGTAACTGATTTCTTCTGAAATGAAAAAGTGGAAGCTCTACTAGTTTTTGGATTTCTGTCATTCCCCCCACCTTTTTTTTTCCTCTGAAGGAGGTTACTAAATGTCTGCAGTGTTCTGACTCAACATTTGTATTCACCCTTTTTCCTTTAATGGGCAGTGTGCTTCTCTGAGGATGCCAGAGCAGAATGGCAGCCATGCAGTATGACTCCAGCCAAATGAGCCAAACTGAACATTCTGCTCAAGACATGTGTAAGCCTTTTACCATCGTATCTTTCCTTCCTTCCCCACTTTCTGAGCATCCACAAGTATCAGACATAGCAGGGGATGTGTAAAACACCGATCAGGCATGGTCTACCATTAAGGAACAAACTGAATAGTGGGAGAGTCAGGTAGGTAAGGGAGCAGATACAATGTACTGTAGTAAGTTCTGCGAGGAGGATATTGACAGCCTTACAGTCCAACATCTTTCACAAGTATCTGCCAAGCAAACCAAACTACATTATCCTTTCATGTTCCTGGTCTTTGCAGTGGTCTGTTGTTTTTCTCCCTGAAATGAAATTAACTTTTAGGACTTCCTGGAGAAATCATAAAATCAATCCTTGAGGTTTCTGCTTAAGTTAACAACTTTGTAGCTAAGTCCTCTCATCAACATGTTTTTGACCACGTTATGACCTCCATCTCCTCCATCTCAACATCTGGCCATCCAAGTTTGTCTGTTCCTCTTCCAGCTCACCTTCTTCCCTATCCAGTATGACCACCCTGGATGGTCTTAACAGGCCACCAACAAAACCTCCTTATCCTTGCAATAAACCTTGACTCTTTGTTCAAACATAAATATATATGGAATATATGCAATCCTTCTTTTCATCTGGTTATCCTGCTGGCCCAGCTGGAACCAAGTCACTTGTATAGTTTCAGCCTCTGCTGAGTCCACTGCCTGCTCAGCAATGGCCTTCTGCTTTCTTTCATCCCATACTGTTTCCATCACTAGTCTGAGCACCCTTTGCAGAGGAGACAGCATGACTTTTCATCTTTGAATCCTTAAAACTTAGCTCACTGGGTGCTCAAACATGTGTATTGAATGACAGTTGTTATATTTGAGGACCACATAGATTTTGGGGAAGACTGACAGGCACATAGTTAGCAGAACCACACGAAGGCCAGGATCAGCCATGATCAGGGTTGCGTTCTGACATGTGAGCCCCAAGCACTCTTGCTTGTGTGGACGCCTTCCTCCATAAAAATATGGAAAACTATATTTTATGACTGAATTGGTATAAAGACAATATAATCTAGGCTGAATTAAAAGTTAAAACATTTTCTTAGGCTCTACAATTTCATTTTTTTATAATTTTAAAAGGAGTTAAAACATTCTCATGTGGCTTTACAGTCTGGAGGGTCCCCTGCACTGCCCACATTGTGCCTAATGGATGAGCTGAGCCTGACCAGGGCACTCTGGTGTGAGGTTGAAGAAAGGAAATTTGGAACAAAGAAGCCAAGCGCTCTGGAGGAGCGGGTGAAACTTCCACTGCTGAACAAAATCAGAATGGGAGCAGCCATGGTTAATAAGGTTGTGAAAGTTTAGAGTACCTTCCAGTTCACTTCCCCTTTTAACTATCTGACTTTTCAACTTTTGTTTTACAAACTCACTGTCCATCTCTATAAAGGAGCAGGGAGTCAGAGATGGATCCTGAAAGGGAAGAGGGAGAAAGGAATGCATGAAGAGAGGTGGGAAGAGATGGACGACAAAGGCAGAGGAGACAAAGAGACCAAATAATTAATCTGTGCTTCCTTCCTTCCGTTTTCTTTCTTTCTTTCTTTTTTCCTTCCTCCCTTCCCTTTCTCCTTCCTTCCTTCCTTCTTTCCTTCTTTCCTTCCTTTCTCTCTTTCTTTCCTCTTTCTTTTTGAGACAGAGTCTCTCTCTGTTGCCCTGGCTGGAGTGTAGTGGTGCCATCATGGCTCACTGCAGCTTCCACCTCCTGGACTCAAGTGCTCCTCCCACTGCAGCCTTCTGAGTAGCTGGCACCACAGGCATGCACCACCACACCTGGCTAATTTTTATTTTATTTTTTGGTAGAGATGAGGTCTTGCTATGTTGCCCAGGCTGGTCTCAAACTCCCAGGCTCAAATGATCCTCCTGCTTCGGCCTCCCAAAGTGCTGGGATTACAGGCATGAGCCACCATGTCTGGCCCACTTTTCTTTTTATAGGACTTTATTAGATGAGGTGAAGAACAGGTAATTTGGGTTGATAATTTGAGAATAAAATGATTTAATTTACCAATTTTTTCTACTTCTCAATTTTAAACTAAAAGGATCCCTTATTTTGCTAAAGAAAAATGTGAAGCTATACCTGTAATAGAAATATGTAAAAACAATTGACATCCATGTTTTCACTATTTACAAAGCTTAGCTACATGCCCATTTTATTTGATTATTTGTGAGGTGACACATATGAGGCAGCTGAGAGTAAGTGAGGACCATGTGGTAAAATGATTGTTGAAGGCATTCAGCCTGCTGGACTCCTTTACCCACTCCCCACCTGTGCCAGTTCCCATGTGGAAATGTGAGTAAGTCTGAGAGAAAGAAACGGGCAACTTTTTTAATATCTATAGAGTATATAATTGATGGAACGACCCCAAGATCTACTACAGGAGACATACGAAAAGCTTCAAAAGTTGTTCAGGGAAATTTGAGAATGACACTTCATACATTTTTAATAATAAAAAATTATCCACTGATGGAAACTTCACTAATTTTTGAGGCAATCATGACGGAACGACATAGAGACCTCCAGGCTGTTGTCACTGAATATAATATAAACAGAATAGCATCCTTAGTGAACACAAAAGCATACATAACAAAAAGAGTAGGTTGGGGCTCTGGTTTCCTGAAGGAGGAACAGCTATAATTTTTAATTCTCTTAATACTGAAAGGGGTCTTAGGAAATCTCTACAATTTCTCTGCAAATCGCTTTCTCTCTTTTCCTTCAATTTACTGTTTTTCAGCTCCAGAGAACATTCCTCACTCATGCACTCACCCACAATGTCTTCACCTCCACAAGGGCTCATCACGGTGGTCAGGGCGAGGGCCCCCAGCATCAGAGCTTTGTTTAGGATCATCCTCTTCCCAAGGCAGCCTCAGCAGTTGCTGTTCTGAGCTGTAGAGCAATTGTGAGGGCCTCAAGACAAGGAAATCTGAAGACACCCAAACCAAACCCTGCCAGGTCAGGTTTTGGCCAATTAGAAAAATCCCCCATGGTGACATCTCAGTTACTAGCTGAAGAGTTTGTATTAAGAGCCCTGGAAGGAGACAGGGCAATCCCCTTGTTGTGATGCAGCCTCTACTCAGAGTGGACTTGAGGAATTGTTCTATGAACAGAGGGAGGACACTAAATTGGAATCTTCTCTGGTGTGTGCATGTCTGCCATTCGCAAGAGGGATGGGCATTTTTCTTTTTTTTTCTTTTTCTTTTCTTTTTCTTTTCTTTTCGAGACGTAGTCTCACTCTGTCACCCAGGCTGAGGTACAATGGCATGGTCTCGGCTCACTGCAACCTTTGCCTCCCAGGTTCAAGCGATTCTCCTGCCTCACCCTCCCGAGTAGCTGGGACTGCAGGCGGCTGCCACCATGCCCGGCTAATTTCTGTATTTTTAGTAGAGACAGAGTTTCACTATGTTGGCCACGCTGGTCTTGAACTCCTGACCTCATGATCTGCCTGCCTCAGCCTCCCAAAGTGCTTGGATTACAGGCATGAGCCACCGTGCCTGGCCAGGGGAGGGCATTTCTGAGCAGCCTCATGGATAGATGAGGTCATCAGTTATATGGCATCCTTCAGGATTTTCTGGGTTACAACCTCCAGGAATTTTTCCCTGAGTTGATTTCCCTCCCTGGCAGTCCCCATCCCGTGCCCTTTCTCTGGCTTCTGTATGTGGGTTAGCTGTTTTTCTTTTTGCTTCCATAGTGCGTGTGGAATTCTCCAAATGTTAAGTTGACCCCACCTACCTAGGGATCTCTGCTGGTGGTAGCCAAGCAATACCTTTGCCTTTTCTACTTGTATAAATCCAGCTGGGTAAGTTCTTCTCAAGCACTCAAAAGATCCAAGTGGTTTTGGCCAGGGCAATAAAAAGGGGTTATAATGTCAGATGGTGCTGTCTATAGTAACTGTATGAGACTTTATACAGTTTTTCTTTGCATTGAGTAATCCTTACATTCTGTGTTTTGGTGCTTCTTGAGTATGTTTAAAGGAAATTTGGGGACATTGATTACATTTAAAATTTGGCTGGCTCAATTACTCTAAGAACTTTTTTTAAAAAAATTAAGAATATGAAGTCAAAAGTTGAGGGTAGAATAAGAAGAATTGCACTGACTTAGAAAAATGGTTTTCTTTTCTTAAACTACCAGATCTTTTAAAACTTGTTATCCTACCCCATTAAAATTCCAAATATTTGCAAGGGACTAGAGATTGAGCTAAAGTTAGTCCTTAGAGGGAAACTTATTATATTTTTTCAGATGCATCTATTTTCTGTATGTGATAGAAACCATAAGTTAATGGAGCTTCTATTTAGAAACACTCTGTCCTTGATAAATGGCCTTCTGAGATTCTCAGCACTATGTTTTACCTCCCACTGGCAGAGACTGTAAAAAAAAAAGTGAAACAAAAAAAAAATGTCCTGACACCTGAGAGCTGTCTGGATGGAATTAACGAAGGCTTGGGGTTGCTAGCAGCTAGCCTGGCACTCCCAGGTGGTTTTGGTTCTCCTGTTGGAGATAAAGGATTTCATAGAACATCAGAATCAGACAGGTACTCTGTGAGCACAGTGGATTGAGACAGAACACCTGAATGCTCAGTCATCATGTCTGAACCCAGACAAAACATGAATATTGTCCAAACCACAAAAATGACCAGGCACATCTCTCTCTTGGGAGTGATTACTGCTTCTTTACCAACCACGTCTGTAGCCTCAGGATAGTCTTCTGTCCCTCTAGGTAGGATTTATGAAGCTACCCAATCATAACATTGCCACCCCAACCCTCCACTTTCTGTCAGAATCCAATTAAAAGCAAAATCCCTCTTTCTTAAATCCTCCCCAAAATCACCTAAAACAAGCACAAACCTTACAACTGATTAATGGTCAATTTTATGTGTCAGCTAGACTGTGATCCCCAGTTATTCAGTCAAACACTAATAATCTAGATGTTGCTGTGAAGATATTTTGTAGATGTCATTGAAGTTCATAATCAGTTGACTTTAAGAATTTATCCTAGGAAAACTGGGTGAGCTTAATCTAAGCTGTTGAAAAGCCTTAAGAGCAGAGCTGAGGTTTCTCTGAGGAAACAGAAATTCCACTCTGGACAGTGTGTCAGCCTGTGCTGAGAGTTCCAGCCTGCCCTTCCTGATAACTACCTCCCAGAGGATCTCTGACTTGCCTAGCCCACCCCCACAGATGCAAAAATTAATTCCTTGCATCATTCTCTTAATATATGTATTCTCGTGGTTCTACTTCTTTGGTTCCAACAATCTCTTACTGAGGGGCTGCATGATTCTCATGGTGAGTTTTATCCATCATTGCAATAAACAATAAAGCTGACTTGTTCATTGCTTGTATGCTCCTGCTGGTCTTTGGCTGGAGGCATTGAGGTACCTCATTAGGCAGTTGTGAGAAATGTACATACACTGCACTTGGAATGAAAAATTCCTGGACTCTTTACATATACTTGTCATATTTTAATATCGTTCTCATTTTCCGAGGAGGACATTAAAGCCCAGAGAGTTGAAGGACTTTTCCCAGGGTCACGCAGCTGATAAGCAGCACAGATGTGATGCTATGGGGCAAGCCATGAGTCCTTGTGAGGAGTGATGGGTGAGAGTCTCCTTCTGTGCGAATTCAGAATCCAGTGCCTTAACATGATTAGGAGAGATATTTGACCCTATAGGTGGCTTTATTCTTTCTAGCTCCTGCCATTGTGGATGAAGAGGGTTTTTGAGGTCCCCTTTGAGATGTGCTCCCTTTGCCACTCAATATCCTTCTGGCTGTGTAGCAAATAACATGTTTTTATCTTTTTTCCTGTATCCAGACTTACCTGCTTTGTATCTCATGGAAATTCCTTAGGACTTTGGCAAATGAGCAAAATGTTTTGGGATGGTAGTCCAGAATTTCACCTATTAAAATTACAGTTTAAATAACTCAACTCCAGTTAAGAAGTTAGGGTGTTAAATGTAGGATTACAATTGTATCTTGGATGGGAAGTTGAGGGTGCCGTTTCAGACCTCACATCCTGTGGGGTGAAGGGAAAGTCCAAGCAAGGCAAAGTCATTGAAGAGATAATAGACGCCATTTCTTTTTTTCTTTTTTTGAGACAGTCTTGCTCTGTCGCCCAGGCTGGAGTGCAGTGGCGTAATCTCGGCTCACTGCAAGTAGCTGGGACTACAGGCGCCTGCCACCACGCCCGGCTAATTTTTTGTATTTTTAGTAGAGATGGGGTTTCACTGTGTTAACCAGGATGGTCTCGATCTCCTGACCTCGTGATCTGCCTGCCTTGGCCTCCCAAAGTGCTGGAATTACAGGCGTGAGGCCACGACTGGCCCAATAGATGCCATTTCTATCTTTAACCTAGTTTTGTCTCTTTCCTCTTCCTGCTTCATCCGGCCATAACACAGTGAACGTTGTTCCAGTTGCTTCTGTCTTCAGGTCATAATTTTAATGTAAGGTAAAGTAATAAGTAAATGAGACTCAGAAGAACAGCATACCATTTTAACAAGAGCTAATTTGTTACCTTTGTCTAGTAGAAAGAGAAAAGGCCCTCTTCATAAATTAATAGTGGGAATAAAATTTGGAGTTCAAAATAGTACTTTGTCCAACAATTTTCTCAGAAAGCACTTATTGACATGCCATTGATTCCATGACTAAAATAACAATGGGATGTGCCATTATAATTGACATCATTAAGAGCCCTCTAAGAAATTAGGTAGAATTTATGTTAGTTCTAATAAACAGTTATAACATTCTCTAAGACTGTATATTTTCAAATTGCTTTAGTCTGACTTTATGCACTGGTGAAGTTTTACTCTGAAGGCCAAGACTTCTGTCTTGCAGTAGTTAAAGCTGCTTCACAATAATAAGAGAGTCTAGAGTAGCAAAGTAAAAAGAATACAGATTTTGTAATAAGATAAATATGTATTCCATGCTGCTTTTCATTTTATCAGCTGCATCACCTTGGGCAAGCTACTCAAAACACCTGAGCCTTAAGGTTATTTTCTATAAAACAGAAGGAAAATTATTGGATGATAGTTAATATGGTAAAATGAAATGATAGATAAGTACAATTATAAAGTTAAATACAATCCAGTGTCTGACACATAGCAACTATTCCCAAGTGGTAACTCCTATATAAAGACAAATATTAATAATGATAATGATAATAACATCATGCTTTGGGCTGGGAAAGCCTATCAATTTTTCCTCATTCATTTAACCTTCTCCCTGTAGCACTCCAGGCATGTGGGAGCCTGTGAGCCACAGAAGCACTAAGACATTGCTGAAAAACAAAATTTTTTTGAAGACTCTTGTATCTGTCAGATTTTTTTATGTAACAAAGTACTCCAAAACTTAATGACTTCAAATAATTGTTTAGTGTCTCCTCATGATTCTGTAAGACAGGAAATTGTGCTCAACCCACCTGAGTGGTTTTTATGTACTGGGCAGGTTCAGCTTTTCTCAGGTGGGCTCCCTCACATCTCTGTAGCATCAATAGGTTTGGCAGGGATAGGAGGCCTCTCTCAATCCATGTGGGCTCATTATCCGGCAGGCGGGCTGAGGCTTATCACAGGTGCTGGAAAGCTCTCCTGTGCAAGATAGAAACAGTAGGTGTCTTGAGCTGAAACTTAAAACTCACAACATCACTTCCATTACATTCTGTTATTCAAAGCAAGTCATAGTACTAGCTCACATCAAGAGGTGGATTAATAGATTGCATTTCTTGACAGAATGGGCTACAAAGAATTTGTAGCTATTTTTGCAACTTATCATAAATATCCTCTGGCTTTTGACAATATGTAAATGAATTTGGTGTGCAAGCATTGGAGAGCCCCCATATTTGAAATAAATTCCACCCACTCACCTACCAGTCAAGATCTTATCTTTACTAATCTGCACTAAAAACACAGTGAAGCTTTCTCAAGGGAGACTTGAACTAAGAACTGTTGAATTCCAGTATGAATAAGGTGCTACAATTTATTCTTATAAAAACTTTATGGAGTTTTAGAAATGAAAATACAGAATTGTGAAGAATTGTAAGTAATCTCTTATGACTGCCAAGCTCATATTCTGATACAAAGTCCTGTATGCTGATATCCAGTCACGTGGCCTCTCACAATCATAAAATTAATGAAGCAGAGGAAACTTATAAAAACAATTGTTATTTAATATCATTTCCACCAATTCTTTATCAGCAACAACTCCTATGTGTGTGAACTAGTTGTTTTAAATAACTCACTTGAATAAACTGCACAATAAAAAATAATATGAGGAGGCCAGGCGCGGTGGCTCACGACTGTAATCCCAGCACTTTGGGAGGCAGAAGCAGGCGGATCACGAGGTCAGGAGATCAAGACCATCCTCGCTAACACAGTGAAACCCCATCTCTACTAAAAATACAAAAACAAAATTAGCCAGGCGTGATGGCGGGCGCCTGTAGTCCCAGCTACTCAAGAGGCTGAGGCAGGAGAATGGTGTAAACCTGGGAGACAGAGCTTGCAGTGAGCCGAAATCGTGCCACTGCACTCCAGCCTGGGTGACAGAGTGAGACTTCGTCTCAAAATAATAATAATAATAATAATAATATGAGGAAAGATTGCTTTGTAATGCTATTCTACTGAAAAACATGCAAAATTACCTCCATGTCCAGATCTACCTTCTCCATAGCTCCAGAGTATTCTACAGCTAAACCTAAGAGGTTATTTCATGAAGACTTTGCAGAGACTATGGTATGTAATCAATAAATACTTGTTGACTTGGACTGAAATTCTTAATCATCTGAATCAGTTTACAGAGCTGACTGTCTGGAGACTGATATTCCTCATGTCCAGCAGTGATTGATTCTCCTCCCAGGAACTCCCCAGTCCTAATGTACATATTGTAAACATTCTTTGTATAGATCTTTTAATTTACTTACTTAATTTTAGAGATGGAGTCTCACTGTGTTGCTCAGGCTGGCCTCAAACTCCCAGGCCCCACCTCAGTCTTCCAAGTAGCTGGGACTACAGGGGCACACCACCCCACCCGGCTATACAGATACCTTTCCTTAGCATTAATCATTAAACAAATGACAAATAATTTTTAATAAAAGCTTTAAAAGCAAGTGCTGCCCAAAGCAATTTATAGATTCAATGCTATTCCTATTAAAAAATACCATTGAGATTCTTCACAGAACTAGATAGAGCCTGAACAGTCAAGGCAATCCTAACCAAAAAGAACAAAGCTGGAGGCATCACACTACCTGACTTCAAACTACACTACAGGGCTACAGTAACCAGAACAGCATGGTACTGGTACAAGAACAGACACATAGAGCAATGGAGCAGAATAGAGAACCCACCAGAAATAAGACCTCATACCTACAACTATCTGATCTTCAACAAGCCTGAGGAAAACAAGCAATGGGGAAAGGATTTCCTATTCAATAAATGGTGCTGGGAGAACTGGCTAGCCATATGCAGAAGGTTGAAACTGGAACTCTTCCTTACACCATATACAAAAATTAACTTAAGATGTATTAAAGACTTAAATGTAAAACGCAAAACTATAAAAACCCTGGAAGACAACTTAGGCAATACTACCCAGGACATAGGCATCGGCAAAAGTAATTGCAACAAAAGCAAAAATTGACAAATGGGATCTAATTAAACTAAAGAGCTTCTGCACAGCAAAAGAAACTATCAGCAGAGTGGACAGACAACATACAGAATGGGAGAAAAGTTTTGTAAACTATGCATCCAACAAAGGTCTGATATCCAGCATCTATAAGAAACTTAAACAAATGTACAAGAAAAAAACGAACAACTCCATAAAAAAGTGGGCAAAGGGCATGAACGGACACTTCTCAAAAGAAGACATACATGTAGCCAACAGTCATATGAAAAACAGCTCAACATCACTGATCATTAGAGAAATGCAAATCAAGACCACAATGACCATCCCACACCAGTCAGAATGGCTATTATTAAAAAGTCAAAAACTAACAGATGCTGATGAGGTTGTGGAGGAAAAGGAACGTTTATACACTGTGGGCGGGAGTGTAAATTAGTTCAACCATTGTGGAAGACAGTGTGGCAATACCTCAAAGACCCAAAGGCAGACATGTCATTTGACCCAGCAATCCAATTACTGGCTATATACCCAAAGGAATGTAAATTGTTCTATTATAAAGATACGTGTACACGTATGCTCATTGTAGCACTATTCACAATAGCAAAGACATGGAATCAACCTAAATACCCATCAATGATAGACTGGATAAAGAAAATTTGGTACATATACACCGTGGAATACTACGCAGCCATAAAAAAGAATGAGATCGGCCGGCACGGTGGCTCACGCCTGTAATCGCAGCACTTTGGGAGGCCGAGGCGGGCAGATTATGAGGTCAGGAGATCAAGACCATCCTGGCTAACACGGTGAAACCCTGTCTCTACTAAAAATACAAAACATTAGCCAGGCATGATGGCTACTCGGGAGACTGAGGCAGGAGAATGGTGTGAACCCAGGAGGCGGAGCTTGCAGTGAGCCGAGATCGTGCCACTGCACTCCAGCCTGGCCGACAGAGAGAGACTCTGTCTCAAAAAAAAGAAAAAAGAATGAGATCATGTTCTTTGCAGGGACATGGATGGAACTAGAGACCACTATCCTTAGCAGACTAATACAGGAACAGAAAACCAAATACCGCATGTTCTCACTTATGAGTGGGAGCGAAATTGTAATAACACATACATGGACACATAGAGGGGAACCACACACACTAGGACCTATTGAAGAGTGGAGGGTGGGAGGAGGGAGAGGATCAGGAAAAATTACCATTGGTTACTAAGCTTAATACCTGGGTGATGAAATAATCTATAAAACAAACCCCTATGACACATATTTACATGTTTATGTAACAGACCTGAACATGTACCCTTGAACTCAAAAGTTTAAAAAATGCTCTAAAATGAGGTTTCTCAACCTGAGAACTATTAATATTTTGAGCCAGAGGATAATGTTTTTTTTTGTGGGAGGCTGTCATGTGTGTTATAGGACTTTTAACAGCACCCCTGGCCTCTACCCAATACATGCTGGTAGCAGCCTCCCCATTAGTGACAACAAAAACTATCTCCAGACATTGTCAAATGTCACTTGAGGGGAAAATTGCCCCCATTTAAGAATCATTGCTTTATAAGGTAACAGACTCTCTAAAATAAAAATAGTAGCAATGTATTGTGTGTTTATGGAATATGAGAAAGAAATTATATGACAATTGCACAATGAATAAGAGAGAAATCTGGAGTATGCTAATCTAAGGTAGATTTGAAGATAGATTATTCATATATGTAAAATTCTAGGGCAACAACTAATCCAAAAGAAAGCAAAAAATGATTATAAAAATAAATATTTCATAGAATTAATAGAAATATCTAGTAAAAATAATTCAACCATATTAATAAGTACATTAAATATAATTGGTCCAGACAGACCAATTAAATGATAGAGAAGAACAGATTGAATAAAAATGGAATATTGAACTATAACCTATCAGCAACCCATTTTAAATATAAAGACATACCTTCATTAAAAGTAAAAAGAAGGGAAATATATACCATGCAAAAGAAATCAAAAGAAATTCAGAATGATTATGTCAATACTAGACAAAGCAGAAATTGGAGCGAGAAATGTTAATAGGGATAAAGACAGACATCACTTAATGATAAAGGGTTATTTCTCTAAAGAGACATAACAATCTTAAGTGCATATGCACCTAAAAACAGAGCTTCAAAATACAGGAGACAAAGTTGACATAAAAGAAAGGAGAAATAGAAAAATCCAAAATTATCATTGGAGATTTTATACTCATTTCTTAATATTTCATAGAAAAAATAAGCAGAAAGTCAGTAAAGATATAGAATAACTGAACAATGCTATCAAGTAACTTGACTAAGTTACATTTACAGAACACTCCACCCAACAGCAGGAAAGTACATAATTTGAAACTGTATTAATTCTATCTACTATATTTCTCTCTCTGTGAACACCATGTTCTTCTCCACTTACTCATCTCTTGTGGTCTCAAAGAAGTTTTATAACATTTTCTTTGATGATTCTTTATATTCCTTGTTAAATACTTTTCATATTATTTTGCTCTTGCTAATGGATACTTTTTTCCTTCCTCCATCACTAAATATTTTTTCTTACAGTCTTCATGGCTTAGTCTGCCAGAGACAGATGATGCTGCTTCCCACCGGGTTCTGATTTGCTGAAGAGGAAAATATTTAATGTCTTATTTTGCTTTCACTTAAACCCAGCTTCTGCAAGGGCCAATGGTCACCAAAACCTGACTAGAAGGGAGTGAGGCTGTGGAGATTGGGGATTGGGGTGAGGAATTGTAAATAACACATGATACATGGGTGTCCTTTCAGCGCCCTCTGTCTGGAAAATTAACTAACCAGAGAAGTGAAGGGTTCAACAGTCAGATTAAAGAACAGGTAGGCCGGGCGCGGTGGCTCATGCCTGTAATCCCAGCACTTTGGGAGGCCAAGGTGGGTGGATCACCTGAGGTCAGGAGTTCAAGACCAGCCTGACCAACATGGTGAAACCCCATCTCTACTAAAAGTACAAAATGAGCTGAGTGTAGTGGCACATGCCTGTAATCCTAGCTACTTGGGAGGCTGAGGCAGGAGAATTGCTTGAACCTGGGAGGTGGAGGTTGCAGTGAGCCAAGATCGCACCACTGTGCTCCAGCCTGGGCAACAAGAGCGAAACTCTGTCTCAAAAAGGAAAAAAAAGAAAAAAGAAAAAAGAAAAAAAAAGAAAAAGGAAAGAACAGGCATTACCCTGTGCTTTGTGCTTTGAGTCACTATCAAGTGACTTAAACCAAGGATGGCTCATGCCCACAGGTCTACAGGGAAAGAGTAACTGTAAATAGCAGCATCTTAATGTGTTTGCACTTGTGAAAAGGTAGAGGATGCTTCATTTCTTTAGTCCACACAGTCTCCAGTGAGTTTCATGATGTGCCAGTTGAATCTTATGATCTAGGCACTGTTTACTAAATTGACAATGAACCTCCAAATCAACTATGAGTTTGGCTTACTGGTATGAACCTGATGTTTGTAGTTTTAAAGTCAGCCAAAAATCCTGGGATGTGTACATTGTGGGAAAAAAATCAGAATTAAAGTGAAGGAATGGACTTGGTTGTTTCCCCAGATGTGTGAGAATAGGTTAATTTCCTGGAGGTAGTTAAAATAAAACCAAAAGGACAAATTGCCTGTTCCTCTCATATTCCTTCCATCATCCTTATTCCCACCCAATATAAAGAAAGCCAGGCCTCTTTTTGCTTTTGACTCTGAAACTTTCTCTTCAGATATACTGGATGTTTATCAGCCAGGCTGGTAAGAAAATGTCGACAAATTGCCATGTTACCTCCCAGTCATGATGATGATAATAATTGATAGTAATGATGATAATAGTGCCTGATATGTATTGAGTACTTACCACATGCCAGATGTTCTTCTAATTGCTTTTACCATACTCGTATTAACTGACTTAACTTTTAGAATGATACCATTAAGTAGGTATATTATTATATCTCCCTCCCCCATTTTACCAATTAGGAAATTGTAGCATGGAAGGGTTGGATACCTGACTAAAGCTATACCAATAGTAAGAAACGGAGCCAGAATTCAAACCCATGCAGTCTAACTTCAGAATGATACCATAGAGAGAGGGCAATTGTGCTACACTGTAGCCCAGAAGGGAATTTATGCCACAGCTCCTATCACAGACAAGGGACCATTTGTCAAGCCACGACTTAATTCTTCTAAAGAAGTAATTGCATGTGGATCTGGCCACTTACACATCCAATTGTCTTCATCTAGAGGTGTTTCTCCAGGGCAAGCCCTGAGGTGGAAATTTGCATTAATGAAGCTGATTAAGACCTCCTCTGCAGATGCTTTATGGACAGAAATGGGCCCTTCCTCTTCTCTTTGTTTCTCATACTTGACTGTGGCTCTGCACCCCCAGGAGATTGGTTCCAGGACCCCAGCTGATACCAAAATCTGTGGATGCTCAGTCTCTTCTATAACATGCTTTAATAGGCCAGGCGCTGTGGCTCATGCCTGTAATCCCAGCACTTTGGGAGGCTGAGGCGGGCGGATCACGAGGTCAGGAGATCGAGACCGAGACCGTCCTGACTAACACGGTGAAACCCCGTCTCTACTAAAAATACAAAAAATTAGCCAGGCGTGGTGGTGGGTGCCTGTAGTCCCAGCTACTCAGGAGGCTGAGGCAGGAGAATGGCGTGAACCCGGGAGGCAGAGCTTGCAGCGAGCCGAGATCACGCCACTGCACTCCAGCCTGGGCGACAGAGTGAGACTCCATCTCAAAAAAAAAAAAAAAATGCTGTAATAACCCATATCCGTGGTTTTAAATCCATGGTAGGTTGAATCCACAGATGTGGAACTTTGGATAGGTAAAGTCGACTGTATTTGATTTATGCACAGATAAACACTCTTGGTCAAGTCCAGCATAATTCATCTACAGGTGCTTTAAATAGTGAATGCACTTTGAAGTCTTCATGGTCAGCTGAACAATCTGAAATTTTACTGTCAGACTTACTTAGAAATCTTACAGATTCAAACATGTTAAGGCTAATAAAATTTTGCAGCTTTGTCAAAAACCATAGAAATGTTCCTGAGCTTAGACCAGGCTACATGGCACCGAAGAGTCAGGGCTTGCTCCCAACCCCAGAAGAGGGGGACCAGAAATTTCCAGTCTGGGAGGGTCCCACACAAAAGTTGCTCTAAAACTACAGACTGGAGTTTTTTTCTGAGTTTTTCCTTCTTCAGGGAAAAGAGTGTGAACCTGCGTAGTGCTCTTCTATCTCTGCTCACCTGAGTACCACAGGGTTCATGGGTTTCAAGTTTAAGACATTAGATTTAGGGAAGATTCACATCTTTCTTCTTCTGTTTATTTGTGAGGTATGGTGAGGTCATTGTTTTACTTCCATGAGGACAGTGGATAAAAAAGAACCCTTTGGAGGGAAGGGAGAGGTAGAGATGAGTAAAGTTATGTAAAAGAATTGAAAAGTAGACCTGAGAGCGCAATTGAGAACAGAAACTTTGTGGCTATGATCCCAGGGGGCCATGAAGACCTGCAGGAGAGGAAAAAAGACACTACAGGGACAGTACAGGCGAAGTTCTACACAATGCTCCATATTAAAATGTTCCATACAAATTTCCCTGAGCAGAGGTTTTTCAAGGCCACTCGCCTTAGACCTGCAGGCCCTATTAAGACTGTTGGGAGGAGAAAAATGTAGTAGTTCTTCTATCATCTAATACTAGTCTTCTGAGTGTCATTAAGATCCTTCCTGTTTTTATAAATATAAATATCACAGTATAGATACATTTACAGAATTGTAATATTAGTCTTTGTAGTTTTTTTTTTTTTACTTAATCTGTGGATAATTTCCCACAGATCAGACAATCTTCTACATCACTAAACAGTTTCTTACAATCTTATCTTTAGTGGCTATAAAAACATCACCATACACTTGAAATAGTATTTATTTAAACATTTTCTTAAAAAAACTTGGGGACACTTCAGGAGATTAATTGAAAGATTATATGGGGAATAGTTAACCCCACCTCTTTTCCACTCTGACCTCTGCCACATAGGTGGCTGGCATCTATCCCTCAAACAAAATACATGAAGTTTCCTCTCAGAAGAAATTGAATGGGCCCAGAGAAAATAATTCCATGCTATGGCCCTCATGGTCCCCCAGTGAAGGAATCAGACCCTGAAACATTAGCCCCAAATTCCATCTGATTTCTTCAAACTCATGACCATTTTTCAGTCGCTCTTACATGTAAAATAATATGAAGAAACAGAAAACATTTTAAGAGAGCAATAAGGATAAACAAAAAGAAAAAACTTAAAACAGATTAGAAATTCAAGACAGCTCTAAATATATACACAAAACAAAGCCAAACAAAATTTTACTTATTATTTTCACAAACATTGGAGAAGGTAGTCCCTTTGTAAAACAAATAAAATTGCTATTAATCTTTTCTCCATAGGTAAAACAACAAAAACACTTTGAAAATTAACAATATAGCCATAATATTTATGACATTCTTTTTTAAATAACCCAAACACACATAAATAAAGATAAAGCATTTGCTATGCAAGCAAATCCAGCTTCAAGACAAGCCACAGCCCCTACCCACCATGCAGAATTCTGGGCCTAAGCTCCTTCTGCATAGATTGATGTAGAAATTACACTACCATAGATGCAAAACAAGGCCTGTCTAAAATCAGATTGTGGTTGCTGAGGAGGAAGTGGGAATGGGGAGTGACTGTTTAATGGGTACGAGGTCTCCCTTGGAGGTGATGAAAATGTTACGGAACTACATAGAAGTGATGGTTGTACAACATGGTGAATGCACTAAATGCTACTGAGTTGTGCACCTTAAAATGGGTTAATTTTGTTATGTGAATTTTACCTCAACAAACAAAAAGATTGCCTAACTCAGGCCCACGCCTTTATATAATATGCTATATAATACACTCTACTACTCTTTAAAACATCAACAATACAGGACAGTATACTTATCCTAGACTTTCAGAACATATATTCTTTTTTAAAATCTCATGAAGATTTTGAATAAAAATAGTTTTAATTCTATAGATTATATCTCCATCCAACTTCATGATTCATTTATAGTTTGTTTTCTCTCCAGTAAAGTACATTTTTTACTCTCTGTTGAGTCTATATATTTCTTACAAAACTTATTCTTTAATATTTTCTATTATTCCTAATGCTAATGAAGTTCTCCCTGCCACTAACCTTGGGTATGCCTTCTTGACAGTTTAGTCTGCCAGAGACAAATGATGCTGACTTCTCTACTTTGCCTTATTAGATAAAAAGAAAAGTATGTAATGATAATATCAAGGTTTCATGTTAATGTGGTTTATGCAAAGATTTATGTCATCATCCTTCCCCTTCAACCACAACCCTGTTCTAATAACCACATCCTGTGACCAAACAGCTCTTCCTTTCCTACAAGCATCAAACTTATTATTAGTTACTCTTAGGTTCTCGATGTGAATTTTAGATAGTGACATATCCTTTGGCC